>NC_000007.14:148549288-148700804 GCF_000001405.40 Homo sapiens | reverse complement strand
AATTTGGTTTGTTTTTTGACAAAATCGTTTTTAAAAGATGAAGCCAATGAGAAAAAAAGTTTAACATATTTAGAAAGCAATTCAGCCATCCCTCTCAAGCTTAAGGAACACTCTCCTGAAACCTCCAAAAATGGGCATTAATAGAGTTAAAGCGAGCCAGTCTTGTGTTTGCATGCTTTGGAATTTGAAATGTAACGCAACTATTTCGACTCACCATGGAAAACAACAAATAGAACCTTCAAGTAAAACATTTTTCAATATCCAAAAACAAACCTTCTTTAAACAAAGAAAAATCTCATCTCCAAATATCTTTTTCAAACAGAATGACTGGTTTTACATTTTAAACATCATTACATATTTTACTACGTAATACACTCTCCAGGATTTCAGAAAATCGGGTACATTTTCGGGTGCACCATGAAATGAAGTGTTAAACTTAAAACTGCACACACTTCTGCGAGGCGTTAAGCTATGCTTAGGTCCTAGAAGCTCATGGCTTGAAGTAAAAAAGGAATCTAGTTCCTCTTCTGCCGCTTCGTTAAGTGCATTCCAAAAAGTGTGATCGTTTACTCCACTCAGAACTTTTGACGATTTTAATGCTACTACAGGAAAGAGCAATTACACAGAGCAAACAAATATTTAAGTAGACTGCAATTCAGTATTTGCGCACTTACCACTAACCCCTACTACGAACCAGAAGCAACCAAGAGTGACCCAATCGGAAAAGAGAATCCTCTTTTTGGCAAAGCCAGCCAGGGAGAAAACCCTAACTTTGGGGATTCATTTCAAGGAATGTCTACAAGCATTCCTCTCTTTCTTATCTTATGTCTGCGCTACACAATACTGCACGGGTGGCAGAAACGGGGGTCTTTCAGATCTTAAGGGAAAAAAAAGCGACGACCCCCGAGTCTGGGGACCCCAAGTCCCAGCGGCCTGGCGGGCGCACGGCTACCCTCAGGGTCAGGGCGCGCGCTCCCGTTGGGACCGGGGGCGCGCCGAGGCCGCAGCGCAGGGCCCGGCCCGACTAGCGAGCGATAGGCGGGCGCCGGGGGGCTCTGTCCGGTTCGGCCGCCGGGCTAGCATCCCTGCGCGCATGCCCCGGCCCGCTCTCCCAGGAGAACGGGGCAAAAGGGCGACTGTTACCCAATAATAGCGCCCTGCACGTTCGCAACAATGCAGGCGGGGAACCCGAGAGCCGCGGGCAGGGAACCGGAAAGCGAGAGAGCCCGGCTCCGCGGCTGCTCCTGCGCTTGAGCCCAGAGCTCACAGGGGAACACGCGTCGGCCGGAAAGCAGCGCCGGGAAGAAGCGTGGGCGCGAGGGGGCAAGGGCACGGGTCCCGGCGTCCCGCGGAGGTCGCCTCACCAGGCGAGGCGCGGACGCCCGAGCCGCCCCGGGCCACACGTCGGCCCACCCTCCGAGAACCCAGCCCGGTCGCGGCGGGGAAAGGGGCCGGCGCCACCAGGCCGCCGCCTCCAGGCGCGATGAATCGTGCTTTTTCCCAGTGCGTAGTCCAGGCCTGGCCGCCCCGGCCCGTCCGGGGTGACTCAGGGCCCGGCCCCGCTCGCTCCTCTGCCACCTTCGGCGTCCTCCGCCCACGAGTCCCCCGGCCCGGCCGCCATTCTGCCCGGCCGCGTTTCGGCGGCTCAGGCCTCGCCAGGCGCCTGGTTTCGGCCGTCGCGGCCCGAGTCACTGCGACACCGCGGCTCGGGGCCGGGCCTGCGCCGCCGCCGCCGCCGCCACCTCCTCTCGGCCCCGGCGGCTGCCGACACTCACCCGCATCTCTGTGGTGCCCCAAAGGCTCCCGCGACGCCTCCGCCTGGTCCCTGGGCCTGGGCCCCGGCGAAAGCCCCGTCCCGCCAAGGTCTAGCTGCGTCCCTCAGCTACCGGGGCTGCCCCGCCTGGAGCTGCGTGCGACACGGCGCCCGCCTCCTCCTCCTCCCCTGCCCGCCCGGCCCTCCTCCTCCCGCCGCCGCCGCCTGCACCACGCAACCTCCGCCCTCTCGCCTTCCCTGCGCGGCTCCCCGCCCTCTCGGCCTCACCGGCTCCGGCGACCGCGGGGGAGAAGCTGTTGGGGGAGGGCCGGAACGCACCGCCATCGGCGTCCGGGGCGGGGGAGCCGGGAAACCGTCGTCGCCATCGCCCCGCCAGCCCGAGGCGCGGGAGGGGCCCGGAAAGCTCCCTCCCGCCCGCTCGCCGCTGCCGGCGGCCCCGGGGGCGCCCCTTCCGCGGCCGAGGCCCCCGCTCGCGTGGGGAAGCTTCTACCTGCGAGCCTGCGGCCCCTGCCCCCGGCACCCGAGACATCCCCGACCCGGCGCGCCGGATTCTCTGCCAGGTTTTACAGCCTCCCTCGCCTTGGGACCGCCGCGGAGGACCCGTTCCCGCCACTTCGGACCTCGCGAGCGGGGCTGAGCTGCTTGGGTCGGGGACACCACCAGCCTCTGGAGAAACGGCCCGAAGCACCCCGAAGAAGAGGGGGTCCCAGTCCCCTGCCCCTCCCTTGTGCGCACCCCCACCCCCAGCTTGCCTGGAACCTGACTCCACACCTTTGTCGACCGGGACAGGGACTGGGGGTTGCACCCCAGATCAGAAAGTCAGAGGTGGCCCTCCGAATCGGCGCGGACTTCCGAGGAACCTCAGCCAATTCTCGACCCCCTTACCACCTGCAAGGCCTTAGGAATCGGCTCCAGAAAGCTCGAGCTTATCTGCGTGTTTCGTTTTAAAAATCACTTCTAAGATAAAACCTAACTAGGCTTTCCCCTTCAGACTTTCAGTAACTCCTGTTTGGCAAATTTTGACATTCACTCTATCCTTCGTCTTTGTAAGGACATATCAAGACTTAGAAGGCTTTGATTACACATACGGATGGCATGAGTCGTGATATAAAATAGTATTGTTTTCACGTGTACTTCGAAGTCATCTCATTTGAAATTAACTGTCATAATTGACTATTTGGAATATTCAACCTAAATACTACCCGCTGCTGTGGTGACGGGGGGTGGAGGAAGCGTGGTGGAACCCCAACACCTAGTGAGGGGTGGCTGATTAATACCACGGCTCACAACATAACAGAGCGGCTCATTCCATGAACAACCCCGGGGGGATTTCGAATTCTATCATCTGGGCAAAAGATGTGATGAGTGTAACTTCCTGTTTTCTCCAAACTAAAACACTACGCAGATTCCTGTACCGCTCTGGGACAGAAATCCTCAGCCAGAGCAGAGGCCGTCCCCAGAGTCCACACTGTTTCCTGCATAAAGTGGGTTATCTCAGAAGAAACATCCCACTGGTCTGTGTGATCCTTCTATTGAAATGTGGTCTTTTATCTACATCTAAGTATCTCTAGAAGTAATGCGTTTGTATGTACTTGTCACTCAGATATGTAATCCCTTAATTTGTGCGGGGTTTTGGGGTGTGAAAAATTCTTGGTTTATATCCTACACTTTTAAATAACCTCGTCAAAACTTACATGTATTTAACACCTTTTTTTGTGAGCACATGGTAAGGTTGGAAGTAAAAATGGAAGGTTTATCCCTGTGGCCCATGTTTTCCAGTGTACCTATGTGGGGTTTTAAAAAAATGTCCCAATTTCTTCCTTTTACTGGAGACTGCGTTTTTTAGACAACAGCTTATCTTCCTATTCCCTAACCAGTCTTCTCCAATCTTACCATTCAATATAGCCTCCTTTTCTGTGACTTCCTCCAGCTGAATAGAAGGGCTGAGTGGGTCAACCTTCCCTGTATTGTTTGTTTCCTCCACCCTCTCTTTTTCCTTAATAGCAGTATTTGGTCCACCCACACCACCCTCTCTCTTCTCACTGCCTCCATTCCTGGTTCTTAACTCCTTTCTATTCTTTACTCTCCACCTGCCTACACGATCATTCTTAGCAGCAAATTTATTCCATCGACTTTTACGTCCACTTAACATCCAGATTGCATTTACTTTGCGCAGATAACCTTGCCGCCTACCTCACAAGTCAAGGCCACCTGCTGCTCTCTTTCTACTTTAAAACATCCTTCCTCCATCTTTACCCCCCAACTCAGCAAAATTGATGTCTCTCTCGGATGACCCAAAGTTTGGAGGGATAATTAATTTGATAGATGTCAGAATCAAAGTTCAAAACAGTCTCAACAGGCTACAACATTAGGCCAAAAGCAATGAAATAAAATATAACTTTCAAATCTAAATATGATGTACTAGCTGGAAAAGCCCAAGTTTTAGATTTTAGACCTTGGTTTGTATCTAGTTACCCAAATTTGAGTCATATCCAGTAACTCAAATTACTATCTTTTGCTCTAGTAAGGTCAACTGTTAATTTGAGATAAAAATACCTACTTCATAAGAGTGTGAAGAGTAATTTATTTATAATTCCCACGTAATTCGTGGAACATTCACCAACCATTAGTTCCCCTCCCTTCCTCATCGTCCACAAAGTGGTTGTCTCTGTTGCCATTCATAACACATTCTTTAATTCATACAGACCTGGAAACAGACTCAAAATCCTGGCCCGTTCACCTTGTATCCCAGAGCTGTCACCATCGTAGAGAAATCGTTTGCCTCTTTTGGGTCAGTCATTATCATCATCATACCCATTTTTTCAATGAAAAAACCTAAGGCTCAGAGATGTTAGGCAATTTGCTCCAAATCACTCAGCCTGATCAGTGGCATAACCTGACCCAGTGACTCATGATTCTGTGTATATCCACTCCTTTACTAAGATATTCTCCCACACTTATGTTGGTCCTTTAGCCTTCTAAATGCTTTTCCTGGTTCTTATCTCTTTATCCTTCCACTTGTGTCCTGACTGATGGCAGATTATTCCTTCTAAACTGATACCTTCATCATTATAATTTTGTCCTTTCAAGCTTCAGTGGTTCCATATTGTTTATAGTGTTCAATCCAAATTTGGACCTGGCACTTAAGGTTTACCAGATCTTGTCCAAACTTGCATTTCCAAATTTATTTCCTGCCACTTCCCAGAAGGAACTCTCAATGCCATCCGGTCCTGTTGGTTGTACTCACTGGCCCACAGATGAGCTGTGAGTCGCCATTTATGAGGGCCTCCTTCAGTTGTTCCCTTAACAGATACCATTTCCCACTTCTTTCCTCCATCTCCAAATCATGCTCACTTTTCAAGATCCAGCTCACACCCCCTCCCAGGAAGCCCACCTTACACCTTCTACCCAAGCTTTGTGATCTCTCCCTGATTGCCTGTTCACATGTGCCTTTAAACTAGGTGGTCTGTGCTGTGGGGTGAGAGACAATTTCCTAAGGTTCACCTGCCCCCTCAGCACTGTGCCCAAAGAACACTGAAGCAGATTCCAAGCAAATTTGCTTACTACTGAAATGAAAGGGTACAGGTGTTACTTGATTAACCATATGAACTGTTATTTCTAAGACACAGGTAAGTAACTAGCCATCCAGCGCAAAGTGAATTAGCAGGATGGTTCTCAAACCTGGCTTTGCTTCAGAATCAGCTGGGGACTTTACTAATTCCGAGGGCCCTGTTCCAGATCTACTGAATCAAAAGTAGGTGGGAAGCAGCCGGGAGGGAACATGAAACTGCCAGAGTTTATATCCTGGCATCGTTGCTTATTATCTGGGGAACTTTGAGCAAGTTACTTAACCTCTCTGTGCCTCAGTTTCTTCGTCTATGACATAGGGATGATAATAATAGTAGCTTGGCCGGGCATGGTGGCTCATGCCTGTAATCCCAGCACTTTGGGAGGCCAAGGCAGGTGGATCACTTGAGGTGACCAGCCTGGCCAACAAGGTGAAACCCTGTCTCTACTAAGAATACAAAAATTAGCCGGGTGTGGTGGCATGCACCTGTAATCCCAGCTACTCAGGAGGCTGAGGCAAGAGAATCGTTTGGACCCAGGAGACAGAGGTTGCAGTAAGTGGAGATTGCGCCACTGCACTCCAGCCTAGGGTGACAGAGTGAGACTCTGCCTCAAAAAATTAATAATAATAGTATCTCATATAAGGTTGTTGTAAGTTAAATCCTTAATAAATATTACCTATGACAATGATAATTTTTCAATTAAACTTGTTTATTTAATCCAAATCATGAAATATACATTACTTGTGATTTTTTTAAAAAAAATAGTTCTGCTTATAAACGTAGTTACGTATATGCTGTAACTAACTATACAGAGTAATTCAACTAGATTAGTATCCAAAGGAAGCTGGAAAGAGATGAAATAATCGAACGATTTCTTATACCTAGATTTTTAAATTCTTTTTGAAGAAGTAGGTGTTTAAGTCCCCTAGTTTAATTTCTTTCTTACCTTCTGTCCTTTTTTTTTTTGAGACAGGATCTCACTTTGTTGCTCAGGCTGGAGTGCAGTGGCATGATCATGGCTCACTGCAGCCTCAACTTTTTGGACTCAGGTGATCCTCCCACCTCAGCCTCCCAAAGTGCTGGGATTACAGGCATTACTGTAACCCGGCCTAATCCCCTACTTTGGTTTCATTAAAAAGGATTTTGTAGCTAATTTTGGTCCATCAAATGCCAAATAAACAAGATTGTAATAATAGAGGTAACTAGATGTAAAGTATGATGCAGAAATACACTTACCAAAGTCACAAACTGTCTGAAGGGGAAACATAGTATTGGTAGACCTCATCCTCTCGACTCTTGACTTATAAGTTGCCTATGTAAACAAATACACAAAGGCCTTGTTTTTATTGCCTGGAATTCCACCAAAGATTCTTAAGTATCATTTCTTAAAGATGCAAATGGCTCTAGGAGGTAGGAGTGCTTGATAGTTGTTCACACATTGGCATTAACTAGTTCAATCAGGTTGCTTTTTTTTTTTTTTGAGATGGGTTTCACTCTGTTGCCCAGGCTGGAATGCAGTGACATGATCACAGCTCACTGCAGCCTTGACCTCCTGGACGCAAACAATCCTCCCATCTCAGCCTCCCGAGTAGCACCTGTCACCATCCCCAGCTAATTTTTTTACTTTTTTATAGCAATGGGATCTTGCTATGTTGCCCAGGCTGATCTTGAACTCCTGGGCTGAAGCAATCCTCCTGCTTCGACCTCCCAACGTGCTGGGATTACCATACTTCATGTGGCCACGTCGCCTTCCTTTTAACGCAGATCAGTAGCACCTAAGCCCAGAAAGTTTGGGGCAAATCAAGTTTTGGAAAAACACTTGAGTGCCTCAGGGAAGGCTGAAGGCCTTAGGCCAGAGGTTCTGGGAGGAGGAGCCTTAAGCAAAAGAAGAAAATGAAGAAAAGGAGAAGGAAGGATTTAAAAATTTAACCTGTCCAATTTCAGATCTTGCATATTGCCAGTTCTAGGCCTCTTATTTTGGAATCCAGAAAATACTGCTGTAAGATAGTCATGAATTAACCTTTTGAGTCTGACCTGGGAGACCTAAACACCATCGTTAACATTGTATGAGATGAAATAGCAATGTATTTTCCAATTATTCAACCTAGTTTCTATGAGATATTATTCAGAGAAAGAAAAGTGTCCTAAAATATTGTTTTCTTTTTCCTCTTTTTCTTCTTTCTTTCTTTTTTTTTTTTTTTTTTTTTTTTTTGAAGACAGGGTCTGTCTCTGTCACCCAGGCTGGAAGTGTGGTGGTCTGATCACAGCTCACTGTGGCCTTGACATCCCGGGCTCAAGTAATCCTCCCACCTCAGCCTCCTGTGTAGCTGGGACCACAGGCATGTGCCACCATGCCCAGCTTTTTTTTCTTTTTTCCCTGCAATGTTGCCCAGGCTACTTTTTTCCCTTTGTTGTTGTGTATTTCTGTGTTTTTTTTTTTTTTTTTGAGACCGAGACTTGATATGTTGCCCAGGCTGGTCTCGAATTCCTGGGCTCAAGTGACCCTACCGCTTTAGCCTCCTGAGTAGTGGGGACTACAATGCACCCCTGAGCCTGGCCTAGAATTGCTTTTTCCAGGAAGTTTTCTATGACCCTCCATATCTCAACCCACCCCATGTCTGCACCTGGATTAGTTGTCCTTCTTGTGTAATTCTTTTGTACCATGTAGTTATTATATTGCATTATAATTTTTCCCTTCTCTATCTCCTACTTCCTCACAGATTGTGAGCTCCTTGAATTCAGACGCTGTGTCTTTTGTCATTATATCTACAACATTTAGCACAGTGCGTGGCACATATTATACTGAAAGTGGTTAGAACCCAACGCATGCACTAATGGGATTGTTTGTACTATGAAATTCAGTCATTCCACTTTCCTGCTCAAAGACCTTTTGTAATTCTCTGCTTCCTAAAAGAATCTCAAACACCTCATTCCTAATACTGAAGCATTCTCTACACTTTGGCTCTAATGGATCAGTCCCTCTGGTTTCTTATGCTTATCATACCAGATCCAAACTAGATTCCTATGAATGCCTGATTAGGCTCCATGCATTTCCTCATCCAACTGTAACTTCCACAGAAATTGCTCTTCTCCAGTCACTGCTTACCCAAATATAACCCGTCCTTCTGGGCCTACCTGAAATGCAGTCTCTTTAGTGAAACCTTCCCTGCTCTTCTACCTGATGTGAATTCCACTTCTCCCCTTGCACTGGGTAAGCTTCTTAAAGACATTCTTGAACAAGTTTGTATCTACAGGACTGTATTAAATTATGGAGGCTGGCAAGTCCAAAATCTGCAGGGTAGGTTGGCAAGCTGGACACTCACAGAAGAACCAATGTTGAAGTTCAAGTGTGAAGGCCATCAGGGTGGCAGAATTTCTTCTTGCTCAAGAAATGTCAGTCTTTTGCTCTATTAAGGCCTTCCACCAATTTGATGAGGCCCACCCACATATGGATGGCAAGTTGCTTTATTCAAAGTCCACCAATGAGGCCAGGCACGGTGGCTCATGCCTGTAATTAATCCCAGCACTTCGGGAGGCCGAGGTGGGTGGATCCCTTGAGGTCAGGAGTTCGAGAACAGATTGGCCAACATGGTGAAACCCTGTCTCTACAAAAATACAAAAATACAAAAATAGCGAGGCATGGAGGCGCACCTCTGTAATCCCAGCTACTTGGGAGGCTGAGACAAGAGAATCATTTGAACTCGGGAGGCAGAGGTTGCAGTGAGTTGAGATGGTGACATTGCACTCTAGCCTGGATGACAGAGTGAGACTCTGTCTCGAAAAGAAAAAACAAACAAAAATAAATAAAACAAAGTCCACCAATGACTGTTAATCTCATCCAAAAAACACCTTCACAGAAACATCCAGAATAATGTTTGACCAAATATCCAGGCACCACGGTCCGACCAAGTTGACGCATAACATTAAACACCACAAGAACTACGTGGGATACCCCGGATGTAGCAAATGGGATATTCTTTCTTTAAAAAGTAATTTATACTTGGCCGGGCGCAGTGGCTCACACCTGTAATCTCAGCACTTTGGGAGGCTGAGGTGGGCAGATCACTTGAGTCAGGAGTTCGAGACCAGCCTGGGCAACATGGTGAAACCCTATCTCTACTAAAAATACAAAAATTAGCTGGGCGTGGTGGCAGGCACCTGTAATCCCAGCTACTCGGGAGGCTGAGGCAGGAGAATCACTTCAACCTGGGAGGCGGAGGTTACAGTGAGCCAAGATCACACCACTGCACTCCAGCCTGGGTGATGAAGTGAGACTCTGTCTCAAAAAAAAAAAGTAATTTATACTCATTGCCTCAAGTTTCCTACCTCCTAGTGACTCAGCCCATCTCTACACACCTACTAAGTTCAACAGTTCCTCTCCTGCATTTGATGTTCGTTCTACCTGCCCCTCCATCATGAAACCACTCATCCTTTGACTCCCAGACTCTTATGCCCTCATGGCTTTTCTAGCTGATAAATCTTTCTGCATCTGGCTCTCTTCCACCCTCCTCTTAAATGTGGGTTCCTGAAGGTTCCATTCTTGGCCATCTTTTCTTGCTACATCTTCTTCTTGTGTGATCTTGTCAGTTTCACTTGTCATCTATGTCAAGTTATCATCTCCGACTTTATTCAGGGACACTTCTAGGTTTCATGGTGCTTGAAGTTTATATAATTTAACACAGGAGTACTCTTTAAGAAAATGTCTATGCTAGGATGGCTAGCAATAACTTAGTTACACACGGAACTCCCCTAAATGTATCCCATGAAGCCCAACCTATATTGTATCTCAAACTTATCTTGCCCCTAAACAGGTCCCCCAAAATGCCTAGAGGACTCCAGTGCCACCTGACCTGGGGGGACGTGTGAAGAAGATGTTAGGGTGGAAAGAGGTAACAGTCTTGGTCTTAATCACATCAAAAATAACCTACTTTTGAAATTTTTACAAAAAAGAAACATGACAACATGAACATATTGCTAAGGCCCTTGCCAGGTGCTTGGAAGACCCCATGCGGGTGAGGAGAGCTGAAGTTAACGTTTGCTACCTTCAAGAGTAGCGGTCCATCTCTGTCTTCAGCTTGACCTCTCCCACACTTCAGGTCTGATTTTCTAGCTGCTTGCCAGACCTCTCTACTTGAACGTCCCTCATATTTCAAACCATTTGGCCTCAAATAAAGACCATTATTCCTTATTCTACCCCTGACCCATCTCATATCTTTTCCTTTGTTTTTCTGTCTCTTATATTGGCATCACCATCTGCCCAGTTATTCAAGTTAGCAGCCTCAGTTATTTCCTGTTCTGCCCTTTCCCTGCTCCATTTGTTTATTAGATCCCATTGAGTTTGTTCCTGTATTTGCTTTCATTTGGACTGCTGAAAGGGCCTCCTCACTGTCTGTCTGCCTCTGGTCTCCTCCAATTCATCCTCCACACAGCTGTGGAGCTATTTTTCTAAAATATGGTCATGACTTCCTCAAGAAGCAAGACAGCATGGGCTCTGGAGCTAGCACCCAGGTTTAAATCTTGGCTCTACTGCTTACTTCCTGTTTGACTTTGGACAAGTTATTTAATCTGTCTATGACTCAGTTTCCTACTTATAAAATGGGAATACTGGCCAGGCGTGGTGGCTCACACCGTAATCCTAGCACTTTGGGAGGCTGAGGCAGGCAGATTGCTTGAGCTCAGAAGTTCGAGACCAGCCTGAGCAACACAGTGAAAACTTGTCTCTACTAAAAATACAAAAAAAACTAGCTGGGCGTGGTGGCAGGCGCCTGTAATGGGAGGCTGAGGCACGAGAATTGTTTGAACCCCGGAGGCAGAGGTTGCAGTAAGCCGAGATCGTGCCACTGCGCTCCAGCTTGGATGACAGAGTGAGACTCTTCTCAAAAAAACAAAACAAGACAAAAAAACAGGGAATAGTTGACACTTCACAGGAGATTTTAACAAATAAATTACAGCATTTCTTGGTGTTGGATATTTGATACATAGAAAACATTAGTATGTTATTATCACTGTTAATATAGCTATCAAAAACTTTTGATGGGACCGGGCACAGTGTCTCACGTGTATAATCCCAGCACTTTGGGAGGCCAACGTGGGAGGATCGCCTGAGGTCAGGTGTTCGAGACCAGCCTGGCTAACATGGTGAAACCCTGTTTCTTCTAAAAATATAACAGTTAGCCGGGTGTGGTGGCACACGCCTGTAATCCCAGCTACTCTGGAGGCTAAGGCAGAAGAATTGCTTGAATCCGGGAGGGAGATGAAGGTTGCAGTGAGCCAAGATCGCGCCACTGCACTCCGGCCTGGGTGACAGAGTGAGACTCTGCCTCAAAAAAGCAAAACAAAACAAAACAAACTTTTGATGGTTTCACGTACTGGAACAAGACATTCAATAATCATCTTCACGCTGAGACCTCAGTCCCTTTTCCCAGTGTCTGTTCTTGCCTCGTCTCTTCCTAGACCTTGTGCTGCAGACACACTTGAAACCAGGCAGATGCTTCCCAGGCCATTTGGGTGCTCCTGGTTTTCCTTTGTTGGAAATGTCCTCTTCCTTTTTCTTTCTGTGGAGAAATCTCAATCATTCCTCAGGTTCCTGATCCAATGTCATCTTCTCTCTGAAGTTTCCTCAGCCTCTTTGCCCTCACTGTATCCTGGTGTTTCTTAATAAACACCAAGCAAAAGACCTCTGACAAACCCCTCCTCCTCCCGAACTTTCTTTTTTCAATTGCCAAAAATGGGTTTTAAGTGTTTGAGTCACAATTCTTGCATGCATGCTCTCATGTAATACTTGTAAAGTATATCTTGGATTATTCCAAGTTTTTATTGGCATAAATCAGAGAGAACATTCTAGTCATGAATGATGAAGTGTGTTTTCCAGGTCATACTACATTCATGCCAGGAACATGGCATAGCCCATCAACACCATTTGTTTATATGATGTATTTTAAAGAACAATTATAGTATTAAGATAATGTACACAGAGAATTTAAGAAATTTCAATGGCTTTAGAGCTTTGTTTTCTTGGTCTGTAGGGTTAGTTGCTTTTGACTTGATATTCACTCTGGGAATGGAAAAATGGAGCTGGCAGGCTGAAATCATCAATTAACAGATAATAACTAGAAAGATATTATACTGCCACTTTATGGGAAAAGGTACTTTTTTGCCAGTTAATTTTTCTATGGGATGCCAAGGGAGGAGACCGCTTTAGAATTTGCCTAATTTCTCCGACCATTTTTAAAGAATAAAGGTATTTTTGTTTGTTTTTTTTTTCTTGAGACAGAGTCTCACTCTGTCACCCAGGCTGGAGTGCAGTGAGGCAATCTCGGCTCACTGCAACCTCCGCCTTCCAATTTAAGCAATTCTCCTGCCTCAGCCTCCCAAGTAGCTGGGACTACAGGTGCGCACTACCACGCCTGGCTAATTTTTGTGTTTTTAGTACAGACGGGGTTTCGCCATGTTGGCCAGGCTGGTCTTGAACTCCTGACCTCAGGTGATCTGCCCATCTTGGCCTCCCAAAGTTCTGGGATTACAGGCATGAGCCATTGCGCCTGATCTTAAAGAATATATGTTTAATTTATAGTTGAAATCTGGATTAATTTACAGTTGAAATCTGGCTAGTTCTGCTGACAGAGTAAGTTCAGAAATCAAACTCACTGAACAATGAGAGCTGTATGTTATTTTTGCTGATAATGTCCCAGAAACTTAGTCAGTGCTATTAACCACAACTCCTCTGGTTTTGGCTCCTCTGAGGACTGCATCAGCCTACAAGTCTGTTTCTGTGACCTTAACAGTTAAACAAGAGAGAAATACCAACATGAAAACAAGAATTTCAAAGATTCCCCTTGCATGATTGGGTAGGAGAGCAGGAGAGACAACGTAGGTGGGAGGCTGGCAACTAAATATTCAAGAGAAAAACTCAAATTTTCCTCCCAGTTGGGAAGCCAATATGTCTTCCTCATTCTTCTTCTTCTTTTTTTTTTTTTTTTGAAATGAAGTCTCACTCTGTCACTGAGGCTGGAGTGCAGTGGTGCAATCTCAGCTCACTGCAACCTCTGCCTCCTGGGTTCAAGCGATTCTCCTGCCTCGGCCTCCCGAGTAGCTGGGATTACAGGTGTGCACCACCACGCCAGGCTAATTTTGATATTTTTAGGAGAGATGGGGTTTCACCATGTTGCCCAGGATGGTCTCGATCTCCTGACCTTGTAATCTGCCTGCCTCGGCCTCCCAAAGTGCTGGGATTACAGGCGTGAGCCATGGCACCCGGCCCCTGATTCTTTTGTCAATGATATTTCCTTTTATTTTTTCCTACCTCTTTCCTTCCAACAGCTCTAACCTTTTACTAAAGGATTAGAAATGGGTAAATATTCAGTAATCTAATCCCTGGTTATTTTAAGACAGCCGACTTAATTGCCTTTGAAAGAAATGCTCCTTGGACAGTGCAAGGGCACTTGTATTTTGGAGGTACCGGCAAGACAACCTGGAAGAAACTGGTAACAGACAGAAATTTACTCGGAGCCACAGACGCTTAAGACACTTAAGTTTTCCTGATAGAATAAGATGAGTCGATGTAAAGAGTGAATATAAAACTCTAATGGTCAAAATAAAGTGATTTTTTTAAATCCCAGGGTACACACATGTTTGAAAAATAGTCAAGCATTTACCGAGATGTGTTTCTTGAGTAAGCACTTCATAAACCACTTGCTAACTGACCTACTTTTTGTTTTGCTTCCCTGTAGTGAGAAAAATAGCTTTTTAGCTTAGACAAGGGAAGGAAGGGTGGCTCTACCTTGCACAGAGCAGGATATAATCCCATTGGATTGGTGCTACAGGTGTGCTTTTTCCAGCTCTGCTGTCAGTCTGAGGAAGACTGTGGGAAGAAGCAAGGGAGAGGCTCCCACGGGAAAAAGATTGACTCAGGTATCCCAGCCTGTGCCTGGACAGGTGGCAGAAGAGGGAAAGCGCAGGCTCAGAGGCAGCCCAGCCTTTTCCGTTCTGCTGCCTCCAGGCTCTTCCAAAGGAGTGATGGGAGCTTTCAGGACAGCCCCTGGCTAAACAATCTCATTCTTCTGAAAGCCCAGAGTTCATTCCTGTCAGAGTTACCTGCATCTTATTGTAATTATCATTTTGTACCTGCGAGCTATTTGGGAGCAGGGCTGTGTCCCCACACATTGTCCCCAGGAACCTTTCCAGGCTCACTTCCCATCCTGCCCACCCTCACTCCTTTATCTGTACTGGCCTATGCACTGCATACGTGTTCCTTACACTTTCCTTCCACGTAGCTTTTGCTAATTCTCCACTGGATGTGCTTCTTACTCCCAGGTTCATCCATTGCAATCCTACTTAGCTTTCAAATCCTACTTCAGTTCTCATCTCATCAGACTTTGCAGAGTCCTTGGGCTGAAATAAATCTCGTTCTCCTTTGTGTTCTCATGGTTGTTTGCTTGGGCCTCTTTGATACACGTGGCTTCTTGCTTGTATTTCCACTGTGCCAAACTCTAGGCTCTTTGTCTTTTCATCCTGTTAATATGGTCTTTTGCAGAGTGAAAGATTTTAATTTTGACAATGTGCGGTTCATCACTTTTTCTTTTTATGCATTGTGCTTTTGCTGTCAAGTCTGAGAACTCTTCACCTAGCTCTAGGTAGGTCTTGAAAGTTTTCTTTTATGTGTTTTTCTAAATGTTTTAGAGTTTTATGTTTTACATTTAACTGTGGGATCCATTTTGAGTTAGTTTCTGCATGAGCTGTAAGGTTTAGGTCTAGTTCATTTTTTTTTCTATGGCTATCCGATTGCTCCAGCAATGTTTGCTGAAAAAGCTCTCCTTGCATTGGATTATTTTTGTAATTTTGTCAAAAAATAGTGGTGCATAAGCCTGCATGTGGTGGCTCACACATGTAATCCCAGCACTTTGGGATGCAGTTGGGTCACTTGAGGTCAGGAGTTTGAGACCAGCCTAATCAACATGGTGAAACACCATCTCTCCCCAAAATACAAAAATTAGCCGGGCGTGGTGGCAGGCACCTGTAATCCCAGCTACTCGGGAGGCGTAGGTAGGAGAATCATTTGAACCCAGGAGGCAGAGGTGGCAGTGAGCTGAGATCGTGCCACTGCACTCCAGCCTGGGTGACAGAGGGAGACTCTGTTTCAAAAAAAAAAAAAAAAGGAAAAAGTAGTGGAGCATATTTGTGGTCTTCTATTTCTGGGTTTGCTGTTCTATTCCACTGATTTATGTGTCTAGATTCTAGGTGCTTTGAGGACTAGACATATGCTTTTCTTTTTACGGTGCCTTTGGTATATTGTCTTGCAAATAGTACCATCTAACTCAGTGGCTGGCACATAGTCAGTGTTCAATAAATTTCGGTTGAAAGAAAGATTCAATAACAAGTACCTTATAAATGTGAGTTAAATTATTACTGAATTAATTCTTTAAATTTTTTTTTTTTGAGACGGAGTCTCGCTGTGTCACCCAGGTTGGAGTGCAGTGGTGCGATCTCGGCTCACTGCAACCTCCACCTCCCAGGTTCAAGTGATTCTCCTGCCTCAGCCTCCCGAGTAGCTGGGACTGTAGGCGTGTGCCACCATGCCCTGCTAATTTTTGTATTTTTAGTAGAGACGGGGTTTCACCGTGTCAGCCAGGATGGTCTCAATCTCCTGACCTCGTGATCTGCCTGCCTTGGCCTCCCAAAGTGCTGGGATTACAGGCTGGAGCCACTGCGCCCTGCCAATTCTTAAAATTTCGAGAGTCAGACCTCTGTGTCCTTGTAGTCTCAGCCTGGCGATAAGCTTTCCTTGGGCCTCTTGACACACAAACTAGAGCCTGTCACGTCCTGCACGCTCTGGAGGCCTCTTGCCCTCCAAGAGGGTCACACACTCAGCAGCAGCTCCCTCTGCAAGTCTCACCGTCCCCCACACAGCCTGCACCCCCAAGGCCTTCTGCCCTGCTGGTGCCCCGACTCCCACTGCACATCCACACCTCCGGTTGTTGATCCCCACTGCCCTCTTGTGCTCTGGAGTGTGGCTTAGCGCTTTTGCAGCAACTCCAGACCAGCTCTGGCCTGGCAAAACCAGCGAACTCTTCTCTCCTGTAGGCCAAACCACACCTTCACCAGTGAGCTCTGAACTCCTTCAAGGTCTGTCCTTCCTTGGGGACGCTCCCTCGCCCTAGGGTAACAAATAGAGTTTGCTTCTGTCTTATAGTCAACCTTTAATTTTTTAAATTAAAAAATAATTTTAGTTTTTAACTTTTTAAAGAGACGGAGTCTTGCTCTGTTGCCAAGACTGCAGTGCAGTAGCACGATCACGGCTCACTGCAGTTTCGAACTCCTGGGCTCAAGTGATCCTCCCACCTCAGCCTCCCGAGTAGCTGGGATTATAGGTGTGCACCACCACACCTGGCTAATTATTTACATTTTTGTAGAGACAGGGTCCTGCTACATTGCCCAGGCTGGTCTTGAACTCTTGGCATCAAGTGATCCTCTCTCCTCAGCCTCCCAAAGCACTGAGATTACAGGCGTGAGCCACTGTTCCTGGCCTCTTTCATCATAATTAATAATGCTTTATATTCAACTTCCTGTCTAACCTACCCTGTGGTTTCTTTTTTTATTGCTGTTTTTAATTTTTAATTTTTGTAGGTACACAGTAGGTGTATATTTTTATAGGGTACATGAGATGTTTTGATACAGGCATGCAATGCATAATAATCACATCAAGGTAAATGGAATATTCATCACCTCAAGCATTTTCCCTTTCTTTGTGTTACAGACAATCCAATTACACTCTTTTAGTTATTTTATTTTATTTTTTGAAGTGGAGTCTCTCTCTGTTGCCCAAGCTGGAGTGCAGTGGTGCAATCTTGGCTCACTGCAGCCTCCACCTCCCAGGTTCAAACGATTCTCCTGCCTCAGCCTCCCGAGTGGCTGGGATTACAGGTGTGCACCACCACACCTGGCTAATTTTTGTATTTTGAGTAGAGATGGGGTTTCACCATGTTGGCCAGGCTGGTCTCGAATTCCTGACCTCAAGTGATCTGCCTGCCTACATCTCCCAAAGTGCTGGGATTACAGGCGTGAGCCACTGCGCCTGGCCCTCTTTTAGTTATTTTAAAATGTACAATAAATTATTATTTTGCTATCAAATACTAAATCTTATTTGTTCTATCGGATTATATGTTTGTACCCATTAATCATTCCTCACTTCCTCTACCCTTACTACCCTTCCCAACCTCTGGTAACCATTGTTCTACTCTCTACCTCCATGAATTCAATTGTTTTAATTTTTAGCTGTCACAAATAAGTGAGAATATGCAAAGTCTATCTTTCTGTGCCTGGCTTATTTTACTTAACATAATGACCATCCACGTTCCATCCATGTTGCAAATGACAGGATCACATTCTTTTTTGCGGCTGAATAGTACTCCCTCATTTATATATACCACATTTTCTTTATCCATTTGTCTATTGATAGACAGATCGGTTGCTTCCAAATCTTGGCTATTGTGAATAGTGCTGCAATAAACATGGGAATGAAGATATCTCTTCGATATACTGATTTCCTTTCTTTTGAGTATATACCTAGCAGTGGGATTGTTAGATCATATGGTAGCTCGATTTTTAGCTTTTTGAAGAACCTCCAAACTGTTCTCCATAGTGGTTGAACTAATTTACATTCCCACCAACAGCATATGAGGGTTCCCTTTTCTCTACATCCTCACCAGGATTTGTTATTGCCTGTCTTTTGGATAAAAGACATTTTAACTGGGGTGAGATGATATCTCATTGTAGTTTTGATTTGCATTTCTCTGATAATCAGTTGTGTTGAGCACCTTTTAATTTACCTATCTGCCATTTGTATGTCTTCTTTTGAGAAATGTCTATTCAAATCTTTACCAGTTTTTAAATTGGATTATTAGATTTTTTATGAGTTGTTTGAGTTTCTTATATATTATTGTTATTGATCCCTTGTGAGGTAGGTAGTTTGCAAATGTTTTCTCCTATTCTGTGGGTTGTCCCTTCACTTTGTTGATTGGTTCCTTTGCTGTGCAGAAGCTTTTTTACTTGATGTGATCTCATTTGTCTATTTTTGCTTTGATTGTCTGTGTTTATGGGGTATTACTCAAGAAATCCTTGCCCAGTCCAATGTCCTGGAGAGTTTCCCCAATGTTTTCTTTTAGTAATTTCATAGTTTGAAGTCTTAGATTTAAGTCTTTAATCCATTTTGGTTTGATCTTTATACATGGCAGGAGATAGGGTTCTAGTTTCATTCTTTTGAATATGGATATCCAGTTTTCCCAGCACCATTTATTAAAGAGTCTGCCCTGTCCCCCAAAGTACGTTCTTGGCACTTTTGTCAAAAATGATTTCACTGTAGATGTTTGGATTTGTTTCTGGGTTCTCTATTCTGCTCCATTGGTGTATGCGTCTGTTTTTATGCCAGTACCATGCTGTTTTGGTTACTATAGCTCTGTAGTATAGTTGGAGGTCAGGTAATGCGATTCCTCTAGTTTTATTTTTTTGCTCAAGATAGCTTTGGTTAGTCTGGGTCTTTTGTGGTTCCATATAAATTTTAGGATTGTTTTCTATTTCTGTGAAGAATGACATTGGTATTTGGATAGGGATTACATTGAATCTGCAGGTCGCTTTGGGTGGTATGAACATTTTAACAATGTTGATTCTTCCAATCTATGAACACAGAATAGCTTTCCATTCTTTTTGTGTCCTCTTCAATTTCTTTCATCAACGTTATACAGTTTTCATTGTAGAGCTCTTTGACTTCTTTGGTAAAGTTAATGCCTAAGTATTTTATTTTATTTGTATCTATCATAAATGAGATTACTTTGATTTCTTTTTCATATTATTCATTGCTAGTATATAGAAATGCTACTGATTTTTTATGTTGATTTTGTATCCTTTAACTTTACTGAATTTGTTTATCACTTCCAATGGTTTTTTGGTGGAATCTTTAGTTTTTTTTCCAAATATAAGATTTTATCATCTGCGAACAAGAATAATTTGACTTCTTCCTTTCTAATTTGAATACCCTTTATTTCTTTCTCTTGTCTGATTGCTCTAGCTAGGACTTCCAGTATTATGTTGAACAGGTGAAAATGGGCATCTTTGTCATCTTACAGATCATAGAGGAAAAGCTTTCAGTATTTCCTCATTCAATAGGATACTAGCTGTGGGTTTGTCTTATATGGCTTTTATTGTGTTGAGGTATGTTCTTTCTATACCCAGTTTTCTTTAGGGTTTTTATCATGAAGGGATGTTGAATTTTATGAAATGCTTTTTCAGCATCAGTTGAAATGATCTCATGGTTTTTGTCCTTCATTCTATTGATGTGAGGTATCATATTGATTGATTTGCATATATAGAGTCATCCTTGCATCCCTGGGATAAGTCCCCCTTGGTCATGATGAATGATCTTTTTAATATGTTGTTGAGTTTGGTTTTCTAGTATTTTGTTAGGATTTTTGCATCAATATTCATCAGGGATATTGGCCTGGAGTTTTCTTATTTTGATGTGTCTTTGATTTTGGTATTAGGGTAATACTGGCCTTGTAGAATGACTTTGGAAGTATTCTGTCCCCTTCTATTTTTTGGAATAGTTTGAGTAGGATTGGTATTAGTTCTTTTTGAAATGTTTGATAAAATTCAGTAGTGAAGCCATCAGGTCCCAAGGTTTTCTTTGTTGGGAGACTTTTTATTATGGCTTTGATCTTGTTACTCATTATTGGTCTGTTCAGATTTTGGATTTCTTCATGGTTCAATCTTGGTAGGTTGTATGTATCTAGGAATTTATTCATTTCTTCGAATGTGTTCAGTTTATTAGCATATAGTTGCTCACAATAGTCTCTAATGATTCTTTCAATTTCTGCAGTACCAGTTGTAATGTCTCCTTTTTCCTCTCTGATTTTATTTATTTAGGTCTTCTCTCCTTTTTTTCTTGGATAACCTGGCTAAAGATTTGTTGATTTTGTTTATCTTTTCAAAAAACCAACTTTTTATTTCATCAATCTTTTGTATTATTTTATTTCTGCTCTGACCTTTATTATGTTTTTCTTCCACTAATTTTAGGTTTGGTTTGCTCTTCTTTTTCTAGTTCTTTATCTTTCTTTCTTTCTTTTTTTTTTTTTGAGAAAGAGTCTTGCTCTGTTGCCTAGGCTGGAGTGCAGTGGTGGTATCTCAGTTTACTGCGACCTCTGCCTCCCAAGGTCAAGCCATCCTCCCACCTCAGCCTCCTGAGTTGCTGAGATTGCAGGCATGTGCCACTATGCCTGGCTAATTTTTGTATTTTTAGTAGAAATGGGGTTTCGCCTGTTGGCCAGGCTCGTCTTGAACTCCTGGCCTCAAGTGATCCTCCTGTATCAGCCTCCCAAAATGCTGGGATTACAGACATGAGCCACTGCACCCAGCCTCTAGTTATTTTAGATGTATTGTTAGCTTGTTTATTTAATATTCTACATTTAAGATGTAGGTGCTTATTGCTATAAACCTTCTTCTTAGTACTGCTTTTGCTATATCCCATAGGTTTTGGTTTTGGTATGTTGTGTATTCATTTTCATTTGTTTCAAGAAATTTTTCTATTTCTTTCTTAATTTCTTAATTGAACCACTGGTCATTCAGGAACATATTGTTTAATTTCCATGTATTTGCATAGTTTTCAAAATTCCTCTTGTTATTGATTTCTAGTTTTATTACATTGTGTGTGGTTAGAGAAAATACTTGATATAATTTCAATCTTTTTGAATTTTTAAAGACTTGTTTTGTGGCCTCACATGTGGTCTATCCTTGAGAATGATCCACGTGCTGAGGAGAATGTGTATTCTGCAGCTGATGGATGAAGTGTTCTGTAAATATCTGTTAGGCTCATTTTGTCTGTACTGTAGATTAAGTATGATGTTTCTTTGTTGCTTTTCTCTCTGGAAGTCTCCAGTTATTATTGTATTGAAGTCTATCTCTTTAGCTTTAATAATATTTGCTTATATATCTGCGTGTTCGAGTGTTGGGTGCATATATATTTACAATTGTTACATCCTCTTGCTGATTTGACCCCTTTATCATTATATAGTGACCTTCTTTGTCTCTTCTTATAATTTTTGTCTTGAAATCTATTTTGTAGGATATAAGTATAGCTACTCTTGGTCTTTTTTGGTTTCCATTTGCATGGAATATCTTTTTCCATCTCTTTATTTTCAGTCTATGTGTCTTCATAGGTGAAGTGTGTTTCTTGTAGGCAACAGATTGTTAGGTCTTGTTTTTTATCCGTTCAGCCACTCTACGTCTTTTGATTAGATAGTTTAGTTCATTCACATTCAATGTTATTGATAAGTAAGAACATACTTCTGCAGTTTTGTTATTTGTTTTCTGGTCTTCTCTTCCTCTTTCCTTCCTTCCTGTTTTCCTGTTAGTGAAGGTGATTTTCTCTGGTGGTATATATTAATTTCTTGGTTTTTCGTTTTTGTGTATCAGTTGTATGTTTTTGATTTGAGGTTACCTTACCATGAAGCTTTCAAATAACATGTTATAACTTATTATTTTAAACTGATGACAGCTTAACACTGATTTGCATAAACAAAAAAGCAAGCAAAGAGAAAACTAATAAAAACTCGAACTTTGCTCTCCTGCTTTTTAACTTTGTTGTTTCTATTTATATCTTGTTGTACTGTCTATGCCTTGAAAAGATGTTTTAGTTATTATTTCTGATCAGTTCATCTTTTAGTCTTTCTACTCAAGATATGAGTAGTTTACACACTGCAGTTACAGTGTTATAATATTCTATGTTCTTCTGTGTATTTACTATTACCAGTGAGTTTTGTACCTTCATATGATTTCTCATTGCTCATTAATGTCCTTTTCTTTCAGATTGAAAAACTTCCTTCAGCATTTCTTGGCTAGGTGTGGTGACTCACGCCTTTAATCCCAGCACTTTGGGAGACCGAGATGGGCAGATCATCTAAGGTCAGGAGTTTGTGACCGGCCTGGCCAACGTGGTGAAAGCCTGTCTCTACTACAAAACTTACCCGGGCACGGTGGCAGGCACCTGTAATCCCAACTACTCGGGAGGCTGAGGCAGGAGAATCACTTGAACCTGGGAGGCAGAGGTTGCAGTGAGCTGAGATCACACCACTGCATTCCAGCCTGGGTGACAGAGGGAGACTCAGTCTCAAAAAAAGAAAGAAAAACAAACAAAAAAACCCCACAACAAACAAACAAAAAAACAAAAAAACTTCCTTCAGCATTTCCTGTAGGACAGGTCTGGTGTTGCTGAAATTCCTCAGTTTTTGTTTCTCTGGGAAGGTCTTTATTCCTCCTTCATGTTTGAAGGATATTTTCACTCAATATACTATTCTAGGATGAAAGTTTTATTTTTTCAGCACTTTAAATAAGTCAAGCCACTCTCTCCTGGCTGTAATGTTCCACTGAGAAATACACTGCTGGCCATATGTATGTTATTTGTTTCTTTTCTCTTGCTGCGTTTAGGTTTCTTTCTTGCTTCCTTCCTTCCTTCCTTCCTTCCTTCCTTCCTTTCTTTCTTTTTTTTTTTTTTTTGAGATGGTGTTTCACTCATGTTGCTCAGGGTGGAGTGCAATGGCATGGCATGATCTTGGCTCACTGCTACCTCTGCCTCCTGGGTTCAAGCAATTCTCCTGCCTCAGCCTCCCAAGTAGCTGGGATTACAGGCACCTGCCACCACGTCCGGCTAATTTTTGTATTTTTAGTAGAGATGGGATTTCACCATGTTGACCAGGCTGGTCTCAACTCCTGACCTCAGGTGATCCACCCACATTGGCCTCCCAAAGTGCTGAGATTACAGGCATGAGACACTGCATCCGGCCTCAGGTTCCTTTCTTTATCCTTGACCTTTGGGAGTTTAATTATTAAATGCCTTGAGGTATTCTTATTTGGGTTAAATCTTCTTGATGTTCTATAACCTTCTTATACTTAAATATTGATATCTTTCTCTAGGTTTGAGAAGTTCTCTGATATTTTCCCTTTGAATAAACTTTCTACCCCTATCTATCTACTCCCTCTCTAAGGCCAATAACTCTTAGATTTGCTCTTTTGAGGTCATTTTCTATATCTTCTAGACATGCTTCATTCTTTTTTCTTTTGACTTATTTGACTGTGTATTTTCTTTTTTTTTCTTTTTTTTTTTTTTTTTTGAGACAGATTTTCGCTCTTGTCCCCCAGGGCTGGAGTGCCATAGCATGATCGATCTCAGCTCACTGCAACCTCTGCCTCCCAGGTTCAAGCGATTCTCCTGCTGCAGCCTCCCAAGTAGCTGGGATTACAGGCATGCGCCACCATGCCTGACTCATTTTTTCATATTTTTAGTAGAGACGGGGTTTCACCATGTCAGTCAGGCTGGTCTTGAACACCTGACACCAGGTGATCCACCTGCCTCAGTCTCCCAAAGTGCTGGGATTACAGGTATGAGCCACCCTGCCCGGCCGTAGACTGTGTATTTTCAAATAGCCTGTCTTCAAGCTTACTACCTCTTTCTTCTGCTTGATCAATTCTGCTGCTAGGAGACTCTGATGCATTCTTTATATGTCAATTGCATTTTTCAAGTCTAGAACTTCTGCTTGACTATTTTCAATTATTTCAACCTCTTTGTTAAATTTATCGGATAGGATTCTGAATTTCTTCTTTGTGTTATCTTGAATCTCATTGAGTGTCCTCAAAACAGTTATTTTGAATTCTGTGTCTGAAAGGTCACATATATGTCTCTCCACGATTGGTCACTGGTGCCTTATTTAGTTCATTTGGTGAGGTCATGTTTTCCGGGATGGTCTTAATTCTTGTGGATGTTCATCAGTGTCTGGGCATTTAAGAGTTAGGTATTTATTGTAGTCTTTGCAGTCTTGGCTTGTTTGTACCTGTCCTTCTCAGGAAGGCTTTCCAGACATTTGAAGGGACTTGGGTATTGTGATCTAAGTTTTTGGTCGCTGCGGCCATATCTGCATTAGGGGGCACCCCAAGCCCAATAATGCTGAGGCTTTTGCAGACTTGTAGGGGTACCTACCACCTTGGTGGTCTTGGGTAAGATCAGGAAAAATTCTCTGGATTACCAGGCAGAGATTCTTGTTGTCTTCCCTTACTTTATCCCAAACAAATAGAGTCTCTCACTTTGTGCTGAGCTGCTGGAGCTGGCAGAGGGGTGACACACTGCCCTTGTGGCCAGCCTAATGCAGATATGGCTGCAATGTTCAAAAACTAGAACTGTGCTGGGTCAGACTGGGTCTCGCCCAAGGTCTGCAGTATCCACTGCCTGGCTACCAACTATGCTTGCCTAAGGCCCTACGGCTCTACAATCAGTAGGTGGTGAAGCCAGCCAGGCTTGTGTCCTTCCCTTCAAGGTGGCAAGTTCCTCTCAGTCCTGGGTGTGTCCAGAGATGCCATCTTAGAGCCAGGGCCTGGCATCAGAAACAAGAATCTACTTGGTGTTCTATTCTGCTGTGGCTGAGCTGGCACCGAAGAACAAGACAGAGTCTTTCCTACTCTTCCCTCCTCTTTACAGGAGCAGAGGAGTCTCTCCTTGTGGGCCACCCCTGTCTGAGGCCTGTGGTGACTACTGCCTGGCTACTATCGATTTTCATTCAAGGTCCAAGGACTCTTCAGTCAGCCTTTGGGGACTGCTGTCAGGCATGGGACTCTCACTTCAGGGCAATGGTCTTCCTCAAATGCCATCTAAGAGCTAAGGCCTGGAATCAGGGATCCCAAGAGCTCACTTGGTGCTCTACCCCATTGTGGCTGAGCTGGTACCTAAACTGCAAGATAAGTCCCCTTTACTCTTCCCTCTCCTTTCTCAGGCATGAGGAGTCCCCATAGCCACCAAAGCTGGGTGTATGCTGGATCACACCAGAAGCCAGCATGTCTCTGAGTCTCACCCTCACTGCTGATTATTTGAGGCCCAAGAGCTCTTTGGTCAGCAATTGATGAATCCTGCAGGGACTGAGCAGGATTCTAGGTTTGGGAAGTTCTTTGACATTATGCCTTTGAATAAACCTTCTACCCCTATCTATCTCTCTACTTCCTCTTTAAGGCCAATAACTGTTAGATTTGCTCTTCTGAGGCGATTCTTTAAGGTAGTGGGTTCCCCTCTGGCGCAGGGTGTGTCTAGAAATGTCATCTAGGAGTTAGGACCTGGAATGGGGACCTCAGGACTCTGCCCAGTGCCCTATCCTGCCGAGCTGGTCTCCAAGTTGCAAGACAAAGTCTTCTTTACTCTTCCCCCGCCTCAGACAGAAGGAAGGAGTCCCTCTCGGAGCTGTGAGTTGCGCTGCCTGGGGTTGTGGGAGGGGCAATGCAAGTACTCCCTTGGCTTGTCCCAACTGGTGTCTTACTAGGTTGCATGCCCCCCAAGTCTACTGGCTCCAAGCCCCGCACAGCACCAGGACTTGTCCAGGAATTGCAGTTCTTGTGGCCTAGACTGCCTTTCAAGTTTGTTTAGAACCCCAGAGCACTTTTGCCTGCAGTGGTGGGGCTTGCCAGAACTCAGGTTCCGGCTGCTGGGATGTGCAATTCCCCTCTGGCTAGGGCTGGCCTAACTGCTCTCTCTGCGAGCACCAGCTGAGTTCAGCCCTGTATTGCTTTCTGCTGTACCGAGTTCCAATGTAAAGTCCCACAATCACTGTGCTCTCCCTCCCCCAAACACAGAGGATTGTGTCTCCATGCCCTGTGGCCACTGCCAGGGGGTGGGGGAGGAGTGATGTCAGCAATTCAACGCTCTCTTTCCTACCCTCTTCAGTGCCTCTTACAGGGCTGTGAAGTTCAAACCAGGTACTGTGATCACTCACCTGATTTTTGGTTCTTATGAAGGTGCTTTTTTGTGAGGATAGTTGTTTGATTTGGTGTTCCTGTGGGGAGGATGATCAGTAGAGGTTTCTATTTGGCCATTTTGCTCCACTTCTTCTCCATTGTGTTGCTTCTGTCTCCTGAGTGGACCCAGAATGCTAGGCTTGGTTAGCCCCCACAGTTATCTCTTAGGGTCCCTGGGATATTCGGTCTCCTTTCTTTGCCTATGCAGCAATGCTCCAAGGCACATCTCTGAGAACTGTGATTGACATATTGGTATGAATTACATTATCCTGTTACAGTGGAAAGATCTAGGACTTTGGAATAAAAAGCCCAGCGTTTTTTTCTGGCTCCTACTGTTGAGTGATATTTTCAACACTGTCTGGGCCATCTTGGTCAAGTCACTATCCATTGAGACCTCAAAAGAGAATGATTGTGATGATCCTACGTAACAGTTTTGATGTGCTGATCAAAATGAGACATTGCATATCAAATGTTTTGGACCAGTATTATGCTCCAAAAAAGAGTAATTACTTTTATTTAACCTTAAGACAAATTATGGAATGCAAGACCATGACTCTTCCTGATTACCTTTCAAATATTCAGAACAGTGGAGAATTTCTTCTGAAATCAAACCACAGAGGCCAACCCCTTGGCACAACGCTGGACCCAGGCACATAAGAAGACCTTAACATGTACACTCCCAAGAGCAGTAAAATAATAACTCTCTACTTTATTTTAAAGACAAGCAAAGGGAGGTTAAATATAATGGAATTATTATAGAAGAAAAACTGCTGTGTTCATAAGCTTTAATTAAGATTTCTAGCTGTTTAGATAGATGAAATAGTTAAAGATATAGGTGTGTGAAAGGACAGGGTTAAATCAAGTGTTTTTAGCCAAAACATTTGAGTATAGAATAATTATTGTAATAAAAGCATGATGTCAAATCAGATCTCAGCAAGCAATTTTTTGAAACTGATGATTCATATTAATGTCAAAGAAGGATGAAAAGAAAGAAAGAAAGTTACAGAAAAGGTTTCTCAAGAATTTCTGAGTTTCTGAGGCAACTTTAGCCCAGCTTTAAAGCTCCCAATATTTATATTTTGCACAAATTTAATAGGCAGGATGTTCAAGTGCTAGTGAACAATGTAAAAAAAACCCCTCCAAACTGCAAATACCATATGATATTCAATATTTTAGGATGACTTTAGCAATCATTACATAAGGTATATTACAAGTATTTTCAACAGGATTATTTGAAAATAGTACTTTGTTGAGAGATGATTTTTTTTTTTGAGATAGAGTTTTGCTCTTTTCACCCAGTACAAAGAAGTACAATGTACATTGGAGTACAATGGCACAATCTCAGCTCACTGCAACCTCCACCTCCCGGGTTCAAGCAATTCTCTTGCCTCAGCCTCCCAAGTAGCTGGGATTGCAGGCATGTGCCACCACGCCTGACTAATTTTGTATTTTTAGTAGAGATGGGGTTTCACCATGTTGGCCAGGCTGGTCTCAAACTCCTGACCTCAGGTGATCTGCCTGCCTCAGTCTCCCAAAGTGCTGGGATTACGGGCATGAGCCACCACGGCCAGACAAGAGATGAATTTTCTAAACCTATCAATTTTTAAAATTGATTTGTATTGACAAAGAAACTAAGACTACTAAGAGTTTTGCTTATTTGTCTAGTTTTAATGTCAGCAATGATGTGGGCTCTGCCAAAATCAGGTGTTATCATTTAAAAACATGATTTGTAGATGCAAAATTGTATAATATTGTATCTGCTGCATATCACTTCCATCTACCCAATGGAGACCTCAATCTTTGAACTATAGTAGTCCTCGGAATTAATGTTCTTTATGATGGCTTTAATATATGTACACAGTATTTTTCTTCTTTTAAGACAGGGTCTCACTCTGATACCCAGGCTAGAATGCAGTGGTGTTATCTTGGCTCACTGCAACCTCCACCTCCTGGGCTCAAGAAGCAATCCTCCCACCTCAGCCTCCCAAGTAGCTGGGACTATAAGCACATGGCACCATGCCCAGCTAATTTTTTGTATTTTTTTTTTTTTGTACAGACGGGGTGTTGCCATGTTGCCCAGGCTGCACAATATTTTTATACTCCTCCATTTAAGAGGTGGAACCAAATTCCTTTTACTTTGAAAGTACACTAGACTTAGTGACTTGCTTCAAATAAGTAGAATAAAATGGAAGCAGGGATGTGAACCTTGGGATACTTGGGAGAACATACTGCCAAAAGGCAGTATGGTTTCTTCTTTGCTCACTTTCCCTTGGATTTCTCTCTCTGAGGGAAGTTAGCTGCCATGTTGTGAGGAGGTCCCCATGTGGTGAGAAACCAAGGCCTACAGTCATGTGAGGGTGGTAGATTCAGGAGGCAGATAAGGGAGCCTGCACAGGGTCTTGCCTGGGCATGCCCACAACAGACTGGAGGCCCACTTGCACTGGGGGAATGGGGTGGAGCCACCAGGAACTCATGCCTTATGCAGAGAGAGGAGCCTGGCCTCTCCAGCTCGTGTGTGGTGGCCTGGTATTCAGTCTGCGATGTGGCAGCCTGTTGGCAGGATCCCCTCTTTCTTTGCTGAGAGCTTTCTTTTCACCAAATAAATCTGCCTTCCTTAACCTTCGATGTTCCACATGCCTAATTTTTCCTGGTTCTGAGACAAGAACCCAGATTTTAGCTGAACTAAGGAGCAAAAAAATCCTGCATCAAGGGCACCATATTAGAAGTGGATCCTCCAGCCCCAGTCAAGCCTTCAGATGACTATAGCCCCTGCCGACCTCCTGCCCAAGACTGTAAGAGAGACCCTGAGCCAAAACCGCTCAGCTCAGCCATGTCCAAATTCCCAACCTACAGAAAACGTGAGATCATAAATATTTGCTGCTTTAAGCCACCAAGTTTTGGGGTAATTTGTTACATAGCAATAGATAACTAATACAGTCTTGGAAGTAACAAATATCTTTTCTGTGTCCACCAGGAGAAGATCACCCAGGGTAAAGCACCTTTCCATTAATATGCTACTCTAATATCTGACAAGACTGTAGAATTCATCAGACTTCTAATACCACATGGAACTGGGTCAGGGCTGGAGGGAGCATTTGAGGCCAGCCAATCCAAGAAAGGCTCTCATCCTTTCCCCCACTGTATCAGTTTCCTACTGCTACTGTAACAAATTACCATGCGTGTAGTGGCTTTAGATAACACAACTGTATTATTTTACTGTTCTGGAGGTCAGAAATCTACACTCTATCTGCAGGGCTATGATCTTTCTGAGGGCTTCAAGGGAGAATCCATTTCCTTGTCTTTTCCAACTTCTAGGGGCTGCCCACACTCCTTGGCTCACTGCCCTACATCACTTTGACCTCTGCCTCCAATATCACATCTTCTTTGACCCTCACGCTCCTGCCGTCCACTTAGAAGGAACTTTATGATTATTTGGGCCCACCCAGGCAATCTGGAATAATCTCAAGAGTGAAGATCCTTAGCTTAATCATATTTGCAAAGTCCCTTTTGCCATGTAAGGTAACATATTCCCAGGTCCAGGGATCAGCTATGGACATCTCTGAGTGGCCAGTTTTCTGCTACTGTGCTTACCATTGCTCACAGTTCAAAATGCAGAGCCAGCTGGCTCTCTGCTCTCTTCCGTTTGCAGAGCAGCACCACACCACCAACCCCTCTTTACTCTATCTGAGGGGCCTTCTGATTTCCTGTTTTCCCACATGCTCATCTGCTTTGGAGAGGGCCCTTCATAGTTCCTCGTTTTAACTGAAACCCGAATCTTCCCTAAGAACACGGCTTCCACTACACTTCTCTGAGAGCTGAGTTTTCAAACTCATGTGCTGTGCTGGCCACAGGACAGGAAGGATTTCTGTATCATCCTAATTTTGGATTGTCATTTCCAAGGCATTCATCTTTGCCCCTCATTCATGTCTTCTTCATTTAAGAATTATGCTACCTTCCTCGCTTACCACTGACATTTATCAACTACATCTATTATTTTTTGCTCCTTTCCAAAACTCAACATTTCTCTTCATCCTGCTATTTTCCTAGGGCACTGCAGAGTATATGAACATGACTCATCTCGTGCAGTGTCCTGAGCTCCTCTCAGCCTCAGCTCCAGTGACTTTACCTCCACGCTTATGATCATACTCTAAACCTTTCTTCATCATTGTCTAAAAGTCTTCCTCCTCTCAAAGTTTAAAGGGCAAGATTCCATTCTCTCATCACAACTTTCCTATCGTTCCAGCCATCCCATTCCTCATTCCTACAACACCCCATCACCACTAGCAATGACTCTAATACATAATATGTTTGTAACAGTTTAAAAAATTATTCCCTCCTCAAAAAAGTTAAGCATAGAATGACCGTATGATCTAGCAATTTGTCTTCTGGGTACATACTCAAAAGAACTGAAAGCTGGGATCTGAACAGATATTTGTACACCCAAGAAGCAGCATAATTTACAACAGCCAACAGAAAAAGCAACCCAGTGTCTGTCAACAGCTGAATGGATTAACAAAATGTGGCCTATCTATACAATGGAATATGAGTCAGCCTTACAAAGGAAGGAAATTCTGATGCGTGCTACAACAGATGAATCTTTAGGTTTAGGATATTATGTTAAATGAAATAAGCCAGATACAAAAGGACAAATACAGTATGATTTCACTTATATGAGGAATCTAGAATAGGCAAATTCACAGAAACAGAAAATAGAGGGCCAGGCGCAGTGGCTCACACCTCTAACCCCAGCATTTTGGGAGACTGAGGCAGGCAGATCACTTGAGGTCAGGAGTTCAAGACCAGCCTGGCCAACATTGTGAAACCCCGTCTCTACTAAAAATACAAAAATTAGCCAGGTATGGTGGTGCGTGCCTGTAATCGCAGCTACTCGGAAGGCTGAGGTGGCGGGATCGCTTGAACCTGTTAGGCAGAGATTGCAATGAGCTGAGATGGCGCCACTGTACTCCAGCCTGGGTAAAAGAGTGAGACTCTGTCAAATAAATAAATAAATAAATAAATAAATAAATAATTAAAAAAGGTAATAGAATGGTGGTTGCCAGGGGTTGGGGAAAGGGGGAGAATTGGGAGTTAGTATTTAATGAGTACGGAGTTTCAGTCTGGGAAGATGCAACAGTTCTGGACATGGATGGTGGTAATGGTTGAACAACAGTGTGAATATGCTTGATGCCACTGAACCGTATATCTAAAAATAACTAAAATGGTAAATTTTATGTTATATATTTTACCACAATAAAAAACTATCCCCATTTTTCAGGTGAGAAAATCAAGGCTGAGAGAGGCTAAATATCTTGCCCAAGATCCAATGAAGGTCATTTAATTTGCTAGTGTTTTCAAGTGGGAAATCAAGGCTCAGAGAGGTTAAATATCTAGCCAAAGAGCTGATGAAGGTCATCTACTTTGCCAGGGTCAGTGTTGGAGCTAGGATTTGGACCTGAGCAGTTCGACTCCAGAGCTCACACTCTTAATCACTATCCCATTAAGAATTACCAACACTCTGACTCTCACTTGTTTCTCATTGTATCGCCACCTTTCCAGTCTGCCTCTGCCCCTTGGAATTCTTAAATACCTCCACACTTCCAGCTATCCAGGCAAATGGGCTCCCATAGCCTGGGGTCAGCCCCAGGGCTTATAGGTGCAGGTGCTGGCTGTAGGCCGTGAACACTGAAATGGTGAAGGATCTGGGGGACTTGGCAGAGCATCGTGGGCACCTGCCCCACCTGTACGTCTTTGGACTGCTCTAGTTTCCCCTCTCCAGGGAGGCCTGTCCAAACCCTGCCACTCTTCTCAAAGCAGCCTTCCTCTCCTACCACTTTTCTCTCAGTAGATGATCTTCTACTTCCTTGGGAAAACTGAAGCTTCCAGTCTTGCCTCAGACATGTCTGTCTTCCTGTCCACTGATAATTCCTCCATCTGGGCTCCAGCTCTCATTCCCTTTTATCTCCACGCAGCTCCCATTCCACCCATGGTCCCCCTCTCTATTTTCTATGATCAACCTTTTGCTATCTGTTGTTTCTGCCTTTCTGTAAGTGTGTGTAAATGTACCCCATCTTAAAAACAAATAAACAGAAAGTCTGCCAGATGCGGTGGCTCATGCCTGTAATCCCAGCATTTTGGGAGGCCAAGGTAGGTGGATCATTTGAGGTCAGGAGTTCGAGACCAGCCTGGCCAACATGGTGAAACTCCATCTCTACTAAAAATACAAATTTTTAGTAGAAAAATGTGGGTATGGTGGTGCATTCCTGTAATACCAGCTACTCAGGAGGCTGAGGTAGGAGAATCGCTTGAACCCAGGAGGCAGAGGTTGCAGTGAGCCAAGATTGCACCACTGCATGCCAGCCTGGGCAATGAATGAGATGCTGTCTCAAAGAATAATAATAATAAATAAACAAATAAACAAAAAGTCAAAACCCCAAAAAGACAAATAGAAGAACCTACCTTGGCCCTGTGTTCTTCCTAGCTATTGTCTGCTTCAGAGCCACTGTCTCCCACGTACTCCTCAACCCTCCTCAGTTCAGTTTCTACCCCATCACTTCACTAAAACTGGTCTTCCTAACGTCCCCCCGAATCATAACATAGCATAACATAACATAACGTAACATAACATAACATAACATAACATAATGTAACATATTTGTATTAGTCCGTTTTCACACTGCTATAAAGGAAAACCCAAGGCTGGGTAATTTATAAAGAGGTTTACTTGACTCGTGTTTCCTCATGGCTGGGGAGGCCTCAGGAAACTTATGATCAATGTCAGAAGGGGAAGCAAGCACCTTCTTCAAAAGGCGGCAGGAGAGAGAGAGAGAGAGAGAGAGAGAGAGAGAGAGAGAAAGAGCGCGCGTGAGCAAAGGGGGAAGCCCCTTATAAAACCATTAGATCTCATGAGAACTCCCTCACTATCATGAGAACAACATGAACAGCATGGGGGAAACCACACCCATGATCCAATCACCTCCTACCAGGTCCCTTCTCCGCACATGGGTATTGCAATTTGAGATGAGATTTGGGTGGGGACACAGAGCCAAATTATATCAATAACATAACATATATAACATAACATACATAACACACCATAACACATAAACATAATATTTTAATTACCTAGAGGAGACTTCTCAGTCCAAACACTAGCTGATCTTTCTGAAGCTTTTCAGTTTCCCTTTGCCTCCTTCTTTAAATTCTTTCTTCCCTTCATCTTGGCAACACCATTCTTTCCTAAATCTCTGTATCCTCCAACTGCTCCTTAATACTTATTGTTTTCAGCTGTGCATGGTGGCTCACGCCTGTAATCTGAGCACTTTGGGAGGCCAAGGCAGGCAGGTCACCTGAGGTCAGTTTGAGACCAGCCTAGCCAACGTGGTGAAACCCTGTCTCTACTAAAAATACAAAATTATCCGGGTGTGGTGGCACATACCTGTAATCCCAGCTACTCAGGAGGCTGAGGCGGGAGAATTGCTTGAACCCGGGAGACAGAAGTGGCAGTGAGCTGAGACTGCACCGTTGCACTCCAGCCTGGGCAACAAGAGCGAAACTCCGTCTCAAAACAACAACAACAACATAAACAACTTAGTGTTTTCCAGGATTATCTCTTCTGTTTGCCCTCGTGTTGAGGGGCTCCCAGCATGACTTTAACTTACTACCTATGTGTGAATGAGTCTTGAATCTACTTTTCTTCCACTGGCATCTCTTCCAAGTTCCTACTCACATCTCCAAATGTCTTCTTGGAATCTCCACCCACTTGTTCCCCAATGGTTTCAAGCTCTCTTGCTTTGCCATCCTGATAAAAGAGCCAGCCAGCCACTTTGATGCCTTTGTAGCCTCATCTTTCTTTCCCTGCTTTTAAATGTTGGTGTTTCTCAGAAGGTCTGGTCTTAGCTTTCCCTTTTCTCACCCTATGTTCTTTTGATTACATGCAGATGACTCACAAACTTATATCATTAACCTAAGACTTTTTCAAAGCTCTGGACCAGGGGTATCCCATCTTTTGGCTTCCCTGGGCCACATTGGAAGAAGAACTGTCTTGAGTCACACATAAAACACACTAACTATAACAATAGTTGATGAGCTAAAAATAAAAAAAAAAGGAAAAAAAAAAAGAAATACTATCTCATAATGTTTTAAGAAAAGTTTACAAATTTGTGTTGGGCCACATTCAAAGCCGTCGTGGGCCCCATGTGGCCTGTGGGCTGTGGATTGGACAAGCTTGCTCTAGACCACTGTACCAAGCAATCGCCTTGATTGTTCTTCTTAGGTATCTCAAAGGCTCCTAAACTCAACAGACACAGAGTAGACTCATGATTTCACCCTACAAATCCTATTCTTCAGAATTCATTATTTGAACCGCTGGTTTTGCCATTCAGTCAGTTGCTTAACAACTCTTCTTCCTTCCCCTCTGTAAGGTCACTTCATAGGAATTTATCAACCCATAAGTTTTACCTTTAAGGTATTGTTTACCTTAAAAAGACAGCTTTCTTGGAGTATAATTTCAGTGCAATAAAATTTAACAATTTTAAGTGTAAAGTTGAATGAATTTTGATGAATGTACACAGTTACATAGCCACTACCACAGTCAAGATATAGAATCTGGGCCAGGGGTGGTGGCTCACGCCTGTAATCCCAGCACTTTGGGAGGCCAAGGTGGGTGGATCACTTGAGCTCAGGAGTTCGAGATCAGCCTGGCCAACATGGTGAAACCCTGTCTCTACTAAAAACAGAAAAATTAGCCAGGCATGGTGGCACGCATCTGTAATCCCAGCTACTCAGGAGGTCAAGGCAGGAGAATTGCTTGAATCCAGGAGGTGGAGGCTGCAGTGAGCTGAGAACGGGCCATCGCACTCCAGCCTGGGTGACAGAGCAAGATTCCATCTCAAAAAAAAAAAAAAAAAAAGGTATAGAATCTTTCCATCTTTCCGTCACTCCAAAAAGTTCCCCTTGTGCCCCTTTTCAGTCATTCTTCTCCCCCATCCCAGCTGCTTCTGGCAACCACTGACTTTTTTTTTTTTTGGTAGAATTTCAAATAAACAGAATGACATAGTATGTAGTCTTTCGTGGCTGGCTTCTTTTACTTGGCATAATGCTTTTGAAATTCGTGTTGTTGCACATGTGAATTCATTCCTCTTTATTGCTGAGTGGTATTCTGTTGTGGAGCTATACCACAGTTTGCTTATCTGTTCACCAGTTGTTGGACATTCGGGTTGTTTTCAGTCTGCGGCCATTATGAATAAAGCTAACCACAGGTCTTTGTGTGGACATATGTTTTCATTTCTCTTGAGTGAATCTTATGAGTGGAATTGCTGGGTCTTATAGTAAGAGTATGTGAAACTGCCAAACTGTTTTCCAAAGCATTTGTACCATTCTACATTCCCATGGACAATGTGTGAGAGTCTCAGCTGTTCTATATCCTTACCAATACCTGATGTGGTCAGTCTTTTAAATGTGAGCATCCTGATAGTTGTGCTGTGGTATCTCATTATGGTTTTGGATAGCATTTACCTAATGACAAATGGCATTGAGCATCTATTTATCTGTTTATTTGCCATTTGTGTATCTTCTGAGGGGAAGTGTCTGTTCAGGTATCTTGCCTATTTAAAAAAATTGGTTTGTCTTTTTGCTATTGAACTGTAAAAGTTCTTATATATTCTGGATACAAGTATCAGATACTCTATGTTTTGCAAGTATTTTCTGAGTGTACAGTTTGTATTTCATTTTCTTAAAAATGGCAATTGAAGAGAAAAAAATTAGAGTCCAATTTATCATTTTTTTCCTGTTTTAATGAATTTATTTTACAAAAATACTCTTACGAAAATGCACCATTATTTGTAGAAGAGAAAACTGAAATCTGGCCCCCACCCTCTACCACTGACTATTGCATCTGCCCTGTTCCTAGAGATGAAGGACAGAGCAGGTTCAGCCCCCAACAACACAGGGATGGAATGTGAGCCTGGGCAGGGGCCTCAGAACCCACCCCTGGGCGTGTAAATCCTGGGCAGAGATTCAGAAGACTGAGCAAGAGGAGGTAGGCAGTGTGTGAAGTGGATAAAGAAAAGCAAGTTGCAGAGCAATGCACGTGGTATGAGAGCATTTTTACAAGAAACAAAGCTCTGTATGCTGCGGCCAGGACTGGTTTCTGCAGTAACAGGCTTGGGAAAGGAGGCTGCTCAACCGCAAACACTGCTTCTCTCTGGAGACCGGGCTGGGGCAGGAGAGGGCAGGAGAATTTCCGTTTATTTTGGATAGCCTTGCATGACCTAAACTGTTTTTTTTTCTACACAGAGACTCAATCATTATTATTTTTAATAGACAATTTTTAGAAAAGTTTTATGTTCACAGAAAATTGAGCAGAAAGTACAGAGAGTTTCCATATACTCCCTGCCCCTCAATAAAGGCATAGCATCCCCTACTATCAACATGTTTGTTACAATAGATGAATCTATATCAACACATCATTATCACCCCCAGTCCATAGTTTACATCAGGGTTCGCTCTTGATGCTGTACATTCTAGGGGTTTGGACAAATATATAACAACACATATCCACCATTACAGTATCATACAGAGTAGCTCCACTGCCCTAAAAATCCTCCGTGCCACTCCGATTCATCCTTCCCTGCCTACTGGCCCCTGGCAACTACTGACCTTTGCAATCATTTAGTGTAAGTCCTTCAATGTTGCTTTTCTTTTTAAAAATAACTTTGGCTATTCTAGACCTTTTGTATTTCTTTATAAGTTTTAGAATCATCTTGCCAGTTTCTCTAAGAAAGTCTGCTGGGGGCCAGGTGCAGTAGCTTGTGTCTGTAATTCCTCGCTACTCAGGAGGCTGAGATTGGAGGATCACTTGTGGCCAGGAGTTTGAGACCAGCCTGGGTAACACAGTGAGACCCCATCTCTAAAACAAAAAAAAATTGAGATTTCTTCTCCCTAATTAACTCTTGGATCTGTTTGTTTCTCTCCATCTCTACCACAATCACCGCCCTAATAGAAACCAAGATGAACAGTAGTCCACTTACTGGTCCGTCTACCTTCAATTTGGCCCCTCATCTGTCCTTCACCTGTAAATTGAAGTGGCATTTATTTTCTTTTTCTTGTTTTCTTTCAGATGGAGTTTCGCTCTGTCGCCCAGGCTGGAGTGCAGTGGTGCGATCTAGGCTCACTGACAGAGCCGCCTCCTGAGTTCAAGCATTCTCCTGCCTCAGCCTTCGAGTAGCTGGGATTATAGGCACACGCCACCATGCCCAGGTAGTTTTTTTGTATTTTTAGTAGAGATGGGGTTTCACCATTTTGGCCAGGCTGGTCTCAAACTCCTGGCCTCAGGTGATCCACCTGCCCTGGCCTCCCAAAGTGCTGGGATTACAGGCGTGAGCCACCACGCTAGGCCTCTGATGCGGTATTTTCAAAACATGTATCTGATCATGTCACCTACTTCAAGGATGTCTCTTTATTCTTGTTAAATTAGTGGAAAAGCAATATCGCACAGGTACAGATCCATCAGAACACATGCCAGCATCTTGGAGCGGCGTTGAAAAGCTGCTGCCCCCATATCATGCCAAATAGTACTCTTCTGCTTGCCAGATCTTGGGGAAGTCTAGACGGGGACTGGGCAGCTAGATTAGTGTGTGGGGTACTAGGAGGAACACTTGGGGGTAGCTCTGGGCAGCAGCTATTCACCCACTGGTAGGATGTGTGTGATGTCTTAACAACAGGATGGCCATGTTGGTGCAGATGGGATGCCCCTTGGGCCTGCTTCCAAGGCCTTCTGTGGTCTGGCATCTGTCCATCTCTCCAGCATTATCTCCTGGCCTCGCTGCTCCAGCCACACTGGTTTTCTTTGAGTTCCTTGAAAATGCCACACTCCCACCACAGGGCCCTTGGACATTGTTTCCTTTGTGAATGTCTTTCTTCCCTCTTTCTCTTAGCTAACTCCTACTCATCTTTCCCGTCTGACACCAATCCTCTGACACTAATTCCTCAGGAAGCCCCCTTGACCCTCAAGGAGGTGAAATCCTGCAATGATAAACCCTCACAGCACCATGTTCTTCTCTCTAGCGAACATCACAGGGGTCGTTTATACATATAGTTACGTGATTACTCAGTCTATTCTCTCCTGTGAGCTCCAGGAGGTTGGGGATCTTCTCTCTTTTTGCTAACCATTGTGACCGGCTCATAGCAGGTGGCCAATCAATACTTGTTGAATAAATAAATGAAAAACCAAACTCAGTATCTTTCCTGCCGTGCCCATTCTTTCTGAATTACCCATTTTGGCTAATGGTGTCATCTATCTAGTTGACCTAGTAAGAGTCTTAGAAACCACTCTAGATTCTTCTTTCTTTTTTATTCCATTAAGATGGACACACACATAGGCCGGGCGTGGTGGCTCACGCCTGTAATCCCAGCACTTTGGGAGGCCGAGGTGGTTGGATCACAAGGTCAGGAGATCGAGACCATCCTGGCTAACACGGTGAAACCCCATCTCTACTAAAAATACGAAAAATTAGCCGGGCGTGGTGGCGGGCGCCTGTAGTCCCAGCTACTCAGGAGGCTGAGGCAGGAGAATGGCGTGAACCCGGGAGGCGGAGCTTGCAGTGAGCCGAGATCGCGCCACTGCACTCCAGCCTGAGTGACAGAGCAAGACTCCATCTCAAAAAAAAAAAAAAAAAAAAAAAAAAGATGGACACAGATCCTGTCAGTTCTACTTCTTAAATCTGTTACGGCTTTGGCTCAGGTTGGCGGCCTTTCTTGTCTGGACCGGAACAGCCTTCTCCAAACTTATCCCATTGTCTCCAGTTTTGCCCCTACCCTGTTTTTTCTTCCTGCTGTCTTAGGGTGATCCTTTGAACCTGATCGGGATCAAATCCAAAGTCACTCATGATCTGATTCTCACTTACTGGTCCAAGGCCAGTTGTCTGCCACCTCTTACAGTACATTTCCTGTGCTCTCAGGTTCTCTTAGTGAGAATGAGAAACCCCGGATGCAGGGCCCAGGTTTCATTCATTTCTATTCTTAGAACCCAGGATCATGTCTAGCACAGAGAAGGCAAACAAACACATGTGGTATTGAATGGAAATTCATTATTTTTGTCTCTCCATGCTGTTACAATGCAGTTCAAGGAACAGTGTTCATAAGGATGACTGCAAGTCATTAAGAAGTGGATTAAATTATATTTATAAACTTAATACAGGCCAGGCGTGGTGGCTCATGCTTGTAATACCAGCACTTTTGAGAGGCTGAGACAGGCGGATCACCTGAGATCAGGAGTTCGAGAACAGCCTGGCCAACATGGTGAAACCATGTCTCTACTAAAAATACAAAAATTAGCTGGCGTGGTGGTGGGCGCCTGTAATCCCAGCTACTCAGAAGGCTGAGGCAGGAGAATCGCTTGAACCCTGTAGGCGGAGCTTGCAGTGAGCTGAGATGGTGCCATTGCACTCCAGCCTGGGTGATAGAGCAAGACTCTGTCTCACAAACAAACAAACAAACAAAACAAACAAACAAAAAACTTAATACAGTACATCTTGGAAAGTATTCAAATGAGAGTGATTAGGCCTTTAAGGTTTAGATTCTTAAAGGCATAGTAATTTAATTGTTTTGGAAAGTTAGCTATGCTAAATCACATTCTGTAAGTCCTTGGGATATCAGGGCAATTTGACTATGGATTAAAAATATTGTTTCTCTCTTGATTGGCGGGGGAGGGAGATTTAGCATTTGTGAATTTGGCACAGTCTTTCTTAAATTCCACATTTACATCATTTTTCTGTTCCTCTATGTTATTGTTATATCACAAACTTCTAATTACTTTGTTTTTATTTGCTGCTCTGAAAGATTGTGTTTGGAATTAAAATTAAATTTAGGTATAATTTAAAGTGTGGCTAGAGAGGCCCAGGGGCAAAAATGTATGCAATTCAACATGAAACGGGAAGAAATGGTGCCAGCAGGTACCGTGATAGACACAGCCTATTTAAGGGACCAAATTTCCATCTGCGTAAGGCAGCTGGCCCAACAAGACTGAGAAATAAAAATCAAAAGGAGATGACTTCGGATATATGGTATAAATCTCCTTTAAACTAGGAAACTCTAACCAAAAGCTGAACAGCATAATTTTACGAAGCTATTTTAGTGAGGGATGGGGGGTTGTTTATGGAACAGCTGTAGTAGAAAGGCTGAATAAGACACTATAATTATAGCATTTGAGACTCTATGACTTTTTCTAATGTGTGGTACGAACAATTAAGATGATTAAATGATAATTGTCTCCATTTTCTTACCAGGAAAATGACCTTGCCTCTCTAGAGGTAAGTAAAATGGTTGCCAACAGTTTGAGTGCCGACTTCCACATTCAACTTGGAAAATCACTTGGAATTAAGATCCAACCTTAGGCTCTGTCCTAAGAAACAGGTGATATGTCTTCCAACAGCCAACATAAGGCATTGGCACAGTCAGGCCATGTAATTTGAAGTTGTTCTTTTTATACTTCTGTGAATTTATCAAGTTTGGTCAGCTTTCCTACTGTGGATAATGGTACTAAGGGACTGATGAAGACAAGTATTACTGTAAAGTCTTATTTATAGTGAAATCTCATATATTGGCCCTGATTAATATAAAATTTGAGTTAATTTGGACAGAGCCTAACTTACATCTTACCATTATACTATGTTTGTAAAAAATATTTTAAAATTAAATTTGCATTGTCAATAAGATTTCAGGCCGGGCGTAGTGGTTCACACCTGTATCCCAGCACTTTGGGAGGCTGAGGCGGGCAGATCACCCGAGGTCAGGAGTTCGAGACCAGCCTGGCCAACATGGCGAAACCCCATCTCTACTAAAAATACAACAATTAGCTGGCGTGGTCGTGGGCGCCTACAATCCCAGCTACTCAGGAGGCCGATGCAGGAGAATCGCTTGAACCTGGGAGGTGGAAGTTGCAGTGAGCCGGGATTGTGCTGGTGCACTCCAGCCTGGGCAACAGAGTGAGAATCTGACTCAAAAAAAAAAAAAAAAAGATTTCAAAATGATTAAACCATTTTTAGGCACCCTCAAGGATTTACAAATACCATTTAAATGTAACTTACTATTGCACCATTGTCTTTTCATAAAATAAGTTCTGTTAGTAGGTAGTAATGTGTTACCCTACATCCAGTCTTTCATGTCAACACACTTTTTCATTGAATACATTCTATGTGCTTAATACTATGTTCAGTATTGTTGGGGACAAAAATAAATACCAAGGAGCCAATAATGCATTTCGCAGGATAAAACTTTCACCCATAAATATTTTTATAACAAAATGAGAGTATACAGTAATCCCTTGGTATCTGCAGTGGATGGGTTACAAGATCCCCATGGATACAAAAATCCATGGATGCTCCAGTCCTTTACATAAAATTTTGTGATGTTTGCATATAACCTGTGCATATCCTCCCATATACTTTAAATTACTTCTAGATTACTTATAATACCTAATGCAATGTAAATGTCATGTAAATAGTTTTTATACTGTTCTTTAAAATTTTTTTTTATTGTTTTATTATTATTACCATTTTTTTTTCAAATATTTTTGACCTGAGCTTAGTTGAATCTGCCAGTACCAAACCCACAGATAACGGAGGGTTGACTGTATAACCATAGGGTGACACGTGTCATGATTAAGTATTACAGAAATTCAAAGCCGGGCGCGGTGGCTCACACCTGTAATCCCAGCACTTTGGGAGGCCAAGGCAGGTGGATCGCCTGAGGTCAGGAGTTCGAGTCCAGCCTGGCTAACATGAAGAAACTCCATCTCCACTAAAAATTCAAAAAATTAGCCAGGTGTGGTGATGGGCTCCTGTAATCCCAGCTACTAGGGAGGCTGAAGCAGAAGAATCACTTGAACCCAGGAGGCAGAGGTTGCAGTGAGCTGAGATCACACCACTGCACTCCAGCCTGGGTGACAGACCAAGATTTTGTCTGAAAAAAAAAAAAAATTACAGAAATTCAGAGGTGTAGTGATCAAGGAATTCTGGGTTACTGAAGACAGATTTGACAGAGAATGTTTGTCCTATGGATAGAAAGGCAACTTCGGTTATTTCCAAAAAATGACAGTCTAGACTTCCATCAGTTTACCAAGAACTTTCTGCATTTAATTTAAATGATTAATATTGACTTTTTTGGAGGCTGTGAGAGCAGTATACTGAGAAGCTCTTTTTTCCAGCTGTCCTCCATGCTCACCCCCATCTCTGTAACTGTTCAGGGTCTCAGGTATGGTTGCTGGGGCTGTCCTGTACCAAACCACCAACACTTAGGGCTGAGGTTGCGGAAGTACTTACTCGAGAGCTGTTCCCTCTTGATACTGTGAGGGGTAAACACACACAAGGTCTTCGTGTCTCCCTAATTCTCGAAGATTTTCTCTTGAAATACATTTTGGGCAAGACAAAATTTTCTTTGCATATCCTCACACTACAATAGTATTAATTTTCAACTTTCACGAATCATACCTCTCACTTATAAGAAACATCCATTATCTTTGCCTACTCAGCATTGATTTTCCCTTTTTCTAACAACAGAAACCTTCTCCTTTTGGAGCATTTGCCAGTAGTATGATAGATCTGCTCACACCAGCTCATAAAAGCTAATTGTTAAGATTTCAGGAATTTGGCCATACATAGTCGTTATTTAACATTAAATTCTAAAAATTTCTCCTTTTTATTTTGAGACAAGGTCTCACTCTGTTGTTCAGACTGGAGTGTGGTGGTGTAATCATAGCTTGCTGCAGCTTCCGCTTCACGGGCTCAAGCAATCCTCCTGCCCCAGCCTCCTGAGTAGCTAGGACCACCGCTGGGCACCACCACTCCCAGCTAGTTTTTAAATGTTTTTATAGAGATGGGGTCTTGTTTTGTTGCCCTGGCTGGTCTCCAACTCCTGGCCTCAAGTGATCGTCCTGCCTAGACCTCTCAAAGCGTTGGGATTACAGGCGTTAGCTATCGTGCCTGGCTCATAAACCTGTGATTTAATAAATTAAGATATTAAAAGCAAAGGTAATACATACTCAAAAGTCATCACTTCCTGATTATTTTGCTACGTTTTATTATTTTGGATAATCTTGAGGCCATCCATTTGGCTATATGGTAGAAATGTTATCTAATGGCTACTCCTGCACACCTCTTCCCAATCCCATGCTCAGGGACCACATTGGTGGTGTGAAATCTGCCATGGTGACAGTATTTACACCAAAAAAATTAACATACATTACAGATGAGGACCTCACCCCCAACCCTGAAGCTGGTTGTTAAACATTTACCAGCATGCCACTGGGCATCCCCCACTGTACCCATTTCAGTTGGTGTGGTTCAAGTTTTCTCACCACATTCTCCGACTCCACAAACGGGAACATGAACCCTTTGAGGTTGCTAAGTGAGTAGGATGTAAGTTTGTAGCTGGTGATGTAGACTTTTTTCTTTCTCTTTTTTTTTTTTTCTGAGGCATGGTCTCACTCTGAGGCCCAGGCTGGAGTGCAGTGAAGGCGTGATCTCGACTCATTGCAACCTCCGCCTCCCGGGTTCAAGCAATTCTCCTGCCTCAGCCTCTTAGGTAGCTGGGATTACAGGCATGTACCACCACGCCCGGCTAATTTATTTATTTATTTATTTTTTGAGACGGAGTTTTTGCTCGTGTTGCCCAGGCTGGAGTGTAATGGTGCGATCTCGGCCCACTGCAACCTCCACCTCCCAGGTTCAAGCGATTCTCCTGCCTCAGCTTCCGGAGTAACTGGGATTACAGGCATGCGCCACCACGTCCGGCTAATTTTCATATTTTTAGTAGAGACAGGGTTTCACTATGCTGGCCAGGCTGGTTCCTAACTCCCGACCTCAGGTGATGCGCCCACCTGGGCCTCCCAAAGTGCTGGGATTACAGGCGTGAAGCACCATGCCTGGCGGAGTGGTGATAGTCTTTTTGTCACAAGCAGAGAGACTCCTTGAGAAGGAAACTAACACAGAGGAAGTAATGTGGAAAGATGGAAACGTCTTCTTAATGGCATCATTTAACACCTGGACCTAACCTGGTCTGAAACTATTGTATCCTTAGACCGTCTGGTTATATGAATCAATCATTTGCACCCTATTTTTGGTCTGGGCCAATTTGAACTGTTACTACCACTTGAAACTAAGCAATTTTTCACAATAGAAACTTTTTTTTTTGAGATGGAGTCTCGCTCTGTTGCCCAGGCTGGAGTGCAGTGGCATGATCTCGGCTGACTGCAACCTCTGCCTCCCGGGTTCAAGAGATTCTCTTGCCTCAGCCTCCCGAGTAGCTGGGACTACAAACGCACACCACCATGCCCAGCTAATTTTTGTATTTTTCGTAGAGATGGGGTTTCGACGTGTTGGCCAGACTGGTCTCGAACTCCTGACCTCAGGTGATCCACCCTTCTTGGTATCCCAAAGTGCTGGTATTACAGGTATGAGCCACCGTGCCTGGCCAATAAAAACAATTTTTAAAGATCACTTTAGGGTTGTTACTGAGCACTCAATTACAATAAAAGAATAGCAAAGCTATGTTTGATAATGGGTGGATGCTTGGGGTGATTGTAATCGAAGAGATTTTCCTGGCAAAGCCAAATTCATGTATTAGCAAAATTACTGAATTTTTAGGTCTTTCTGATTACCTCTGGATAGCACGATCTTTGAACATCTAATCTGTTTATTGATAACCATGCTTAGACCGTGGCTATCCTAACTTGCCCAACGTGCTATGAGAGGAGGAAGTCCATGTTTTCTGGGAAACATTCCCTGTGGTTCCAAAACCCATTACACACCTAGTCAAACTCAGTGTCACATTTCCTCAAAAAGTGAAAAAGCTTGACACTAAAAGAATATGCCTTAGGCCGGGCGTGGTGGCTCATGCTTGTAATCCCAGCATTTTGGGAGGCTGAGACAGGCGGATCACCTGAGGTCAGGAGTCTGAGACCAGCCTGGCCAACATGGTGAAACCCTGTCTCTACTAAAAATACAAAAAATTAGCCAGACCTGGTGGCGGGTGCCTGTAATCCTAGCTACTCGGGAGGCTGAGGCAGGAGAATTGCTTGAACCTGGGAGGTGGAGGTTGCAGTGAGCCGAGATGGTGCCATTGCACTCCAGCCTGGGCGACAACAGTGAAACTCTGTCTCAAAAAAATAAAAAAAAAAAGAATATGCTTTGGCCAGGTGGGGTGGCTCATGCCTGTAATCCCAGCACTTTGGGAAGCCGAGGCAGGCAGATCACTTGAGATCAGGAGTTCAAGACCAGCCTGGCCAACATGGCAAAACCCTGTGTCTACTAAAAATACAAAAATTTGCCAGGGGTGGTGGCGCGTGCCTGTAATCCCAGCTACTTGAGAGGCTGAGGCAGGAGAATCACTTGAGCCCGCGAGGTGGAGGTTGCAGTGAACTGAGATCACACCAGTGTACTCCAGCCCGGGTGATAGAGTGAGAAATATGCCCAATTCATGGAAAGAGTCCTGGATTATAAATAAAAAGTTTGTTTTCTAATCCAGATCTTTCTATAACTTTGGGCAAACACCTCACCTTTCTGAGCCTCAGTTTTATTTTCCAGAGAGTGAGGAGCTGAGGCTAAATGATTTCAAGGGTATCTTCCACCATTCTAAATTCTATGATTCTACTCTAAACATTTATATTACTATTTATTCTTAAATCCTCTAACATTTTCTCATCAAGTAAAAGCAAAATATTTCATCAAAGTGTCACATTTCCAGAAAGGCCCATATTTTCACCTTTTTAATGTAATAGAGATCAGGCGACAGGAGTGAGTGACACCTGACTTTGCACTGGAGGAAGACAGAGAAGAAAGAGTCCCAGAGTGATGGTTGCTGTGGGGGAAGGCAGCCTTTGTGGAGTCAATGCTTTGGCTACTCGCTCTTGCATCACCAGCCTGTGATCACAGGTGCTAATTAAATTAATAAAAAGGCATTTTGTTAAGACATGTGCCCCACACCTGCTATGTCACCAGGCACAGGTTTCTTGCCTGTTGTGATGGAACAGTTTTTACCAATCAACAATGAAAGCAAAAAGACAATAACCGCAAGAAGGAAAAGTCAACCTATAGCCAACATGACCCTGATTCTCCCCTGACAAATGCCTATTAATTTGTCATGACACATTAGGAAAGCACACATTTTGAATTTGACATTCCCAATTACATAGGGCGTGACAACTTTGTTTAATAGTTATTATACTTAACAGAAATAACATGCTGTCCTCACCCAATTAAGGATGAGGATAATAAACTGAGAAATTATAGTATGTAGAAATAAAACTTCAGATGCAGATGAGGATGATAAACTGAGAAATTATAACACATAGAAACAAAACTTCAGATGCAAATGAGGAGCACACCCATCTCTCTATAATGATACTTTTACTGAATGGTCTGGAATTTACTTATTTGGAATTATTTTGAATAGCTTTGGTAATGTCTGTTTGACTTGAATGCAGATGCCATGTGTTTTTGTTTGAGGAAGATACATAAAAAGATAGTTTTAGCTTATGCTACATTTTATGTTAAAAATGGATATATCCCAACATATTAGGATTATATTTAGTTGTGAGATATTTAAAATCCAAAATAAAATTTATTTTCCTCCCATTTAGAAATCCTGGCAGAATGTCCAAGTCTAACATGGTTCTCCATGGTGTAGGGACCAAGCAGGTCCCACCCCTTTTCTCTGCTGTGCATGACTGCTATTCTCAAGCTCATCTTATGGTTCAAGATGAAGTTGTACACAATTTCCACTTACTTTTTCTTTTTTTTTTTTGGGACAGAGTTTCACTCTTGTCTCCCAGGCTAGAGTGCAATAGCACGATCTCAGCTCACTGCAACCTTCGCCTTTCAGGTTCAAGTGATTCTCCAGGCTCAGCCTCCTGAGTAGCTGGGATTACAGGTTCCTGCCACCATGCCTAGCTAATTTTTGCATTTTTAGTAGAGACAGGGTTTCACCACATTGGCCAGGCTGGTCCCGAACTCCTGACCTCAGGTTATCCGCCCGCCTCAGCTTCCCAAAGTGCTGGGATTACAGGCGTGAGCCACTATGCCTGGCCCACAATTTCCACTTGTAAGTCCTGTCTTCTAGGCAGCCATGCACCTTGCTTAAAGTTGTGTGTTCTATTATTATAGAACAAGAGTTGGCAATTGTTTTCCTGTAAAAGGCCAGTTAGTAAATATTTTAGGCTTTGTGAGGCACATGGCCTCTGTCTCAGCTATTTAACCCTGCTGTAACCATACGATGGCAGCCATAGACAGTGCACAGATGAATGCTCGTGGTTGTGTGACTGTATGAGTGAGTTTTCACGCGGCTGATAAAGACATACCCAAGACTGGGTAATTTATAAAGAAAAAGAGGTTTAATGGACTCACAGTTCCACATGGCTGGGGAGGCCTCACAATCATGGTGGAGTGTGAAAGGCATGTCTTACAAGATGGCAGATGAGAGAATGAGAGCCAAGTGAAAGGGATTTCCCCTTATAAAACCATCAGCTCTCATGAGACTTATCCACTACTATGAGAACAGTGTGGGGGAAAATGCCCCTATAATTCAATTATCTCCCACTGGGTCCCTCCCACAATACATGGGAATTATGGGAGCTACAATTCAAGATGAGATTTGGGTGGGGACAAAGCCAAACCATATCAGTGTCAATAAAACTTTATTTACAAAAGCAGGTGGTGGGCTGGATTTGGCCCAGAGGCTGACCTCTGTTATAGAAAATGGGTAATAATAGAAAACAGAAAATAGAGATCTCTAGTAGCTTCTGCTATGCCAGATAGTAGAAATATTAGTATTATTAACTCTGGTAAGTCCTTCCCTCCCCTCTTCCCCTTTAGTACAGTTGGTGGCAAACAAGATTGCCAACAATTTATAAAAATCAGCGAGAGGGCAGAAGAGGACAAATTCGTTTAAGGCTCTCTTTGAAAGACTAGCTAGTAAATTTCAGTTATGCCTTTTGTTTGTCTTTCTGACTCTTATTTTGCTTAGGCAAAAACTTCTGTCATATTTCTGACCTTAGTAAGATAATGGCTATTTTCTGGACAACCACTGAGAAGTGCAAATTTCCATGGAGTAAGCAAGCTGACTGAAGGAAATGCAGAGGAGACGCTGAGAAAATTCCCTGAGGGAATAATTATGGTTTTCCCCTCTTTTTGACAGAGTGGGATAGGGCTGTGATCTTTAAGATCTTGTCTTTCTTCTTGATGGACAGGGGAGAAGAGGTGTAGGATTGTGATAACCTACCTTGTTTTAACCTGAGTGACTCTCTCCTAGCAGAGAGAGCCAGACAGACTCCATTTTAGTTTCTTCACTTGCAGCCCTCCATAGCCCCCTTAAGGGACTAACTAGTGCAAGCTCACTCCAAGCACATCCAGGAATGCACCTGCTGATAAGATATTGAGGCAGGCTGTACCAGCAGCTCCTGGGAATGTGCTCGATGGAAGGCACCTAAAGCCCCTGCGTTTATCTCTTAGTGATAATTTAAGCCCCTGCACCTGGAACTGTTTATTTTTTGTAACTGCTTCTATAACCAATTAATTTTTTTAACTTTTTACCTATTCTGCTTCTGTAAAATTGCTTCAGTTAACCCCCCCTCCCCTATTTAGACCATAGTATGAAAGAGAATCTAGCCCCTTCTTCAGGGCTGAGAGAATTTTGAGCGCTAGCTGTTTCTCAGTCACCGGCTAATAAAGGACTCCATAATTTGTCTCAAAGTGTGGCGTTTCTCTATAACTCGCTTGTTTACAACAGGATTACACTAGAGAGCTCCCCCTTGAGCAAAACAAACCCAAAAGAAGTTTGATAAATATTCATTGTGGAAATTTTACCTTTCATCAATTTTATTTAACTTATTTTAATGAATCCAATGATAACATGTGACTTAAGTCACATATAGATATACAGGCCGGTCGCAGTAGCTTGCCCCTTGTAATCCCAGCACTCTGGAAGGCTGAGGTGGGCAGATCACCTGAGGTCAGGAGTTTGAGACCAGCCTGGCCAACATGGTGAAAACTTCCTCTACTAAAAATGCAAAAATTAGCTGGGTATGGTGGCATGCACCTGTAGTCCCAGCTACTTGGGAGGCTGAGGCAGGAAAATCACTTGAACCTGGGAGGTGGAGGTTGCAGTGAGCCAAGATCACAGCACTGCACTCCAGCCTGGGTGACAGAACGAGACTCCATCTCAAAAAAATAATTACACACACACACACACACACACACACACACACACACACGCACACAGAATTAAGAGTCTTCCATGATCCATCCCTCCCAGTCTCTCCCAGAATATCCTAACAATCGAACTCTGTGCCAGGAAAAAGGGATTGTTAATAGTGACATCTGTTGCTTCCAGAACTCCTAAAGTGAGATAAGCTGCTCTCCAAACTCCCTTCCTGGTTCCTTTTTCTTTTTCTTTTTTTTTTTTTTTTTTTGAGACTGAGTCTCGCTCTGTTGCCCAGGCTACAGTGCAGTGGTGTGATCTCGGCTCACTGCAACCTCTGCCTCCTGGGTTCAACCAATTCCCTGCCTCAGCTTCCAGAGTAGCTGGGATTACAGGTGCCTGCCACCACACCTGGCTAATTTTTGTGTTTTTAGTAGACAGGGTTTCACCATCTTGGTCAGGCTGGTCTTGAACTCCTGACCTCATGATGCACCCACCTTGGCCTCCCAAAGTGCTGGGATTACAGGCGTGAGCCACCGTGCCCAGCCTCCTTTTTCTTAAGATCCACTTAAGATCTAGTTAGTAGGATATTAACTTGCAAGATCTTCCCTTTCCATAGTACTGACTACTGGTAAATCTACTTTTAGATTCTCCCCAACTTCTACTTTTGTATTCAGTAGAAAAGATACTTTAATTAAACTGATCAAACATTTTTACTACATGGTTTCAAGACTGGAACAATAGTGGCTTTAGATTTCCACATTTATGAAAGGTGACTCAGAAAGTTAGCATGCAACAGTCAAGCTAAAGGAAGCTGAGAGATAATTTAGTCCAAATTCCTTAGTTGACAGAGAGGAATTGAGGTACAGGGAAGGAAAGTGATGTGCTTTGGATTGATTAATTAGCATGCCTAATTAATAATAAAATGTGGTAGAAACGCAGGTCTTCTAGTTTGCAGAAACACTTGAAAGCTCCACTCTCCCTTCTGAAGAGCTGGACTCAGCGGGAGAGCAGCCCTTACAGGGAACAGGGAGTGGAGGGATGGCCGCCTGTTGACAGTTGGGCATTAGCAAGTGGGAGGAAGAAGATGTCTGGCTTCTCCATTCCTTCTTTTTTTCTCTTTCTGGTTTTGCTAATTTATTTGAAAATTACATTTGTTCACGTCAAATTACCACTTGATACTCATTGTTGGATTTCTTTAGGTCATCCTGCTGTTCTCTCAGTTTCCCAGGGGTTTGTGTGTCTGCCTTGTGCTATTCATTTTCCCACGGCCTTGTTGGTTGCTTCCACAGAGGCAAATGTAAGTGCTTTTCCTTGCTTTAGATTATGTACTGTGTGCTGTAATCACTGTATCTACTATTTTTGTAGGTGGCATGGACATTCTGTTGACACTGAATCCAGGTACTCCCTGGAGCACTTTCTACGCTTAGCAGAGCTTTTTTTTTTTGAGACAGGGTCTCACTCTGTTGCCCAGGCTGGAGTGCAGAGGCATGATCTTGGCACACTGCAGTCTCTACCTCCAGACTCAGGTGACCCTCCCACCTCAGTTTCCTGAGTAACTGGGACCACAGGTGAACACCACCACACATGGCCAATTTTTAAAAATTTTTTGTCGAGACAGCGTCTTGCCATGTTGCCCAGATTAATCTTGAACTCAAGCAATCTGCCCACCTTGGCCTCTCAAATTGCTGGGATTACAAGTGTGAGCCACATTGTTGTTACATTATCTACTAAGGTGGCTTTCAAACCCCTGTGGAGAGTGCCTATTTTACCGATATACTGTTTTGCTTTCATTTCACACATCACTTTCCCAAGAATAGCAGAGACAAGAGACATCTTTTCCAAAACTCTATCAAAATGACAGAGCCTTGGCCATGGCCTTCCCCACCTCTGCAGATTCTGTGTCACACAGCTCACTGTGGACAGTTTGCCAGCTTTTGGGCATGGCGAAAGAACGATCTTTGGAAGAGCAGGGAAGCCCAGAAGTTCACAGAAAAGAAAGCTCTCAAATTCTTCTTGCAACAGTGGTAAGTAAGAAAGACCTTAGCTTCTTCTGAAAAGGCCGTATGTCCCCTGGGACAAGGATGAAGTGCAGCGTTGCAGGGAGACCTGTCCAGCCTAGGTGGAGAGCACACAGTGTAAGAAGCGCAAGACGCACCTCAGCAGGAATTCTGGGCTGTTTAAAGCATGCAGGGGTGTCTCCAGGTTTTTCAGGTGGTGTCAAGGAATTAGCCCCAAATCTAGAGGGCATTTCATTTACTTTGGCTTAACATGAGAGTTTTTGGGAAGAAAGGAAAAGTACCACATTTAGGCCAAACAAAAAGATTACTAACATTTCCTTTGGAGAAATGTTGGAGTTATTAAATGTTAAAAATTCAAACAAATGTGTATGGCGGTGTAGTTTTGTAAGGGGCATAAATACTTAGTACATCTATTAATTTCCAGGGTCATCTTCATAAGTGGGTAACATTTTTGTAGATGCATATGAACATATGGGTTTATATACACACACATATTCATATTATGTGTGTATAATACACACAGGTAATACACACAAACATCTATTTATAAATAATATGAATATATTAATATATGTATTGTGTTTGTATATGTATGTGTGTATAGGTATACATACATACAGTACATATATAAATGTGTATTTGTTATTTATAAATGTATATATAATCCATGTATACATACATATGTATACTCTATGGTACACATATATAAAATATATATCATATATCAACATAAAATATATGTGTATTATAAAATATATGTGTATAGTATACATATTATACATATGTACATAATATATATGTATTTTATGTATGTATAATACATAGTATACATATGTATGTAAAATACATGTATTTTACATACATATATTACATAGTATACATATGTACATAAAATGCATGTATTTTATGTACATATACTACATAGCTTACATATGTATATAAAATACATGTTTATTTCATATATGTATATTACATGGTATACATATGTATATATACATGCATTATATGCACATAATATGGAATATATGTGTATATATTTATACATGTATATATGTGTATATATTTATACAGGTATACGTGTATGTATGTGTATATATTTATACAGGTATGCGTGTATGTATGTGTATATATTTATACAGGTATGCGTGTATGTATGTGTATATATTTATACAGGTATGCGTGTATGTATGTGTATATATTTATACAGGTATGCGTGTATGTATGTGTATATATTTATACAGGTATGCGTGTATGTATGTGTATATATTTATACAGGTATGCGTGTATGTATGTGTATATATTTATACAGGTATGCGTGTATGTATGTGTATATATTTATACAGGTATGCGTGTATGTATGTGTATATATTTATACAGGTATGCGTGTATGTATGTGTATATATTTATACAGGTATGCGTGTATGTATGTGTATATATTTATACAGGTATGCGTGTATGTATGTGTATATATTTATAGAGGTATGCGTGTATGTATGTGTATATATTTATAGAGGTATGCGTGTATGTATGTGTATATATTTATAGAGGTATGCGTGTATGTATGTGTATATATTTATAGAGGTATGCGTGTATGTATGTGTATATATTTATACAGGTATGCGTGTATGTATGTGTATATATTTATACAGGTATGCGTGTATGTATGTGTGTATATTTATACAGGTATGCGTGTATGTATGTGTGTATATTTATACAGGTATGCGTGTATGTATGTGTGTATATTTATACAGGTATGCGTGTATGTATGTGTGTATATTTATACAGGTATGCGTGTATCTATGTGTGTATATTTATACAGGTATGCGTGTATCTATGTGTGTATATTTATACAGGTATGCGTGTATATGTGTGTGTATATTTATACAGGTATGCGTGTATATGTGTGTGTATATTTATACAGGTATGCGTGTATATATGTGTGTATATTTATACAGGTATGCGTGTATATATGTGTATATATTTATACAGGTATGCGTGTATATATGTGTATATACACATACTTACATGTGTTCATATGCATCTATTAAAATTTTACTCATTTATGAAGATGACCCTGGAAATTGATATGATAAGCATGTTGAAACTGAGTCTTTATATATACATATATACACATACATGCACACATACACATATAAACATACACACACACACATATACACTAATAGATTATATTGACATTGCTGCAAATCCTTCTTTCCCCATATATGATTATATTGCAAGAGCCCTCTCTCTACATTTGTATATCTGTGTATATTGTGTACTTTTCTCTTTTGAATTATTTGTTTTCTTTGCCATCAGGAAATGTGGCAGGCAGGAAAGCGAAAAAAGAGAAGAGAGAACAGGACTGGGTGACCAAAAGATGCCCAAACACTAACGTGAAAAGAATAAATGCTTAATCATAATAATTAGGGACATATGCCCTTTTTGAATCTCATCTGTTTTAGCTTAAGGAAAGAAATTTTTAAAATAACATTTTTAAATGAAGGAAAGTCTTTGTCTTACTTTCTAGAACCAACAAAGTCAACCTTATGTTGCAAGTCATTATAGCAAAAGCATTAGGAAGGAAGGACCATTTAAAGTGAGATCGGTCATTAAGTTCCTAACTACTCGCTTGAATCTCATAAATAATTTTAAGTAGAAAGGGTTGTCAAATGTGATTAAGGTCATTATTTCATGTTAAAGTAGCCCACAGGCTTTCTGATATAAAAATCTTTCTATAGAGAGATGAACTAAGATTGCTTCAAGGTTAAGGGTCTCTGGAGCCCATTCCATGAAGATATATTACAGTAGAGATGATCAAGTGCAGAGATGTCACCTGAGAAGATTGTACAAGGTTTCTCAAGGTGAGTGGTCTCTGAACAAGAACAGATTATATTATTTTAAGAAGATTTGCTGGGCGTTCAATTTCCAAAATGAATTATAATATACATTTTTTTCAACCTAAAAACCTCACATCTGTGTTGGGAAAATAATAGCCTAGGCATCATTTAGTTTATTTAACAAATATTAACTGAGAGGGTACTCAGTGTGCCAGGCACACTTCTAGGCTCTTGGGATGCAATGGGGACCAAATGAAGTCCCTGCTCCCAAATAGCTCAGACTCTAGTGTGGAGACAGGCAATAAAAGCAATTATAAAAGATAGCAGAGCTCATCATCTGCAGTGAGAAACAGACAAATAGACAATGACAAAGCCCAGTGGTAAATGTTACGGACCGGGAGAGGATGGGGCATTCTCCAAGTTGGGAGGCTAAATCTGTATTAGTCAGGGTTCTCTAGAGGGACAGAACTAATAGGACATATGAATGTATGAAAGGGAGTTTCTTAAGGAGAATTGACTCACACCATCACAAGGTGAAGTCCCACAATAAGTCATTTGCAAGCTGAGGAGCAAGGAAGCCAGTGGTGGCTCAGTCTCAGTCCCAAAACCTCAAAAGTAGGGAAGTGGACAGTGCAGCCTTCAATCTGTGGCCAAAAGCCTGAGAGCCCCTGGCAAACCACTGTGTGAGTCCAAGAGTCCAAAAGCCGAATAATCTGGAGTGTGATGTTCAAGGGCAGGAAGCATTCAGCACGGAAGAAAGATGAAGGCTGGAAGACTCAGCAAGTCGGGTTCTTCCATCTCCTTTCCACCTGCTTTTTCTAACCGCACTGGCAGCTCATTGGATAGTGCCCACCCAGATTGAGGATGGGTCTGCCTCTCCCACTGGGAGAGGCAACTCCCAGAAACACCCAGATACACTCAGAAACAATACTTTGCATCCTTCAATCTAGTCAAGTTGACACTTAATATTAACCTTCACAAAAGCCTATCTTCCTCAAACAAGTGATGTTTAGCTGAGACTTGAAGGATAAGCGGGGGTTGGCACAGCCCAGGTAGGTGAGGGATTGAGGTGAGGTAAAGAAAGGGTGTTCACAGCACAGTGGCCAGCATTGCAAAAACCCAGAGGTGAGAAGGCCCAGGTGAGAAGGGGCAAGTTGTGTCTTAGGAAATGGTTGTGTGGCTGGAAAAGGAATTGAGAAGAAATGGCGGAAGATCGGCTTGGAAAGGCATGCAGAGACCTGGTCATGCTGAATCTTGTAAGCCGTCATCAGAAATCTGAAATTTGTTTTAAGGGCAATGGGCAGCCACTGTTAAGTTTCTAGTAGGGAAATGACATGAACAAATTTTGTTTAACAAAATCCTTTTGAAGGTAGCGTGAAGACCAGATTGGAAGAGGAGCAGGGTCGTAGACAGAAAGCCCATCAGCCGACTGCATTGGTCAGCCGGGAAACAGAAGAGGGGGTGGCTGCTACTAGTGGGTGGCAGTGAGGACTATAAGGAGAGGTAACACTGACCATGTGCCAAGTACTCTTCTAAGTGCTTTCTTTCTTTTTCTTTTTTTTTTTGAGACAGAGTTTTGTTCTTGTTGCCTAGGCTGGAGTGCAATGGCATGATCTCTGCTCACCGCAAACCCCTTCTCCTGGATTCAAGCGATTCTCCTGTCTCAGCTTCCTGAGTAGCTGGGATTACAGGTGCCTGCCACCATGCCTGGCTAATTTTTGTATTTTTAGTGGAGACGGGGTTTCACCATGTTGGCCAGGTTGGTCTTGAACTCCTGACCTCAGGTGATCCACCCGCCTTGACCTCCCAAAGTGCTGGGATTACAGGCATGAGACATCGTGCCTGACCTTCTTCTAAGTGCTTTCTATGCACGAGCTCAGTTAATCCTCATAGCATCCACATGAGGAAGGCTGTATTATCACCACATACATCTTATAAATGGAGAAACTATAGAAAGGCTAAGTTGCCTGCATCTCCAAGTAAGTAGATCTGGGATTTTTTGTTTATCTGTTTGTTTTTGAGCAGGGTCTGACTCTCTTGCCCAGGCTGGAGTGCAGTGGCACGAACCTGGCTCACTGCAGCCTCAACCTCTTGGGCTCAAATGATCCTCCTACCTCAACCTCTTGTATAGCTGGGACTACAGGTATGTGCCACCATGCCAAGCTCATTTAGGTCTCGCTATGTTGCCCGGGCTGGTCCTGACCTTCTGGGCTCAAGCGATCCTCCCACCTTGGCCTCCCAAAATGTTGGGATTATAGACATGAGCCACTTGCCTGGCTAGATTTGGGATTTGAAGCCCCATTGTCTAACTGCAAGTTTAACCATTTCCCTACAGTTTTCTCTCCAGCGGTAGGCTGATTTCAGGAACATTTAGAGTTGACTTGAGAGCATCCAGTGATTGACTACATTTGGGAACCACGAGGGTAGAAGACGCTCAGGAGGATGACTGGGTGGGTGATGTTGCCTTTAACTGGGAGGAAAAAAAGGAGGATTTTGGTTTTGTTTTTGTTGGGGGGACATGGAGATAAGGAGTCTAGTTTTAGGCATTGTTGAATTGGGGATGCCACGTGAAGATGTCCAATAGAGTTATAGACGCAGAACTCAGGACCCAGGCCAGGACTGGCAGGTATGGATTTGAGAGACCTCAATATGAATGTAATTGAAGCCAAGAAGTGGATGAAATTGCCCAGGGACAGTATTTGGGGTGATCAGAGAAGATACCAATGCCAAGGGACACCATTAAGGAATGGATATAAGAAAATTAGCTTGAAAAAGAGGCTGACAATGTGGCTGGAGAAATTTGAGAAAATCAGAGGAATGTGGAGTCACAGAAATCAATAACAGAATGTTTTCAAGAAGAGGACGACTGCTCCCAGCTCCTTGGGAGGCTGAGGCAGGAGGATTGTTTGAGCCCAAGAGATAGAGGCTGCAATGAGCTGTGTTCATGCCACTGTACTCCAGCCTGGGCAACAGAGTGAGACTCTGTCTCTAAATAAATAGAATAGAATAAGAAGGGGACCGCTGAACAGGGTCAAATGCTGTCAGCAAGGTGAGGACTGACACGCTCACCATAGACAACAATGAGGTCCCAGGTAAGAGCAACTCTAGCTGACCAGAAGCACCCTCCAGACTGTGGTGGGAAACGGAGATGACGAGAGTGGATAACTCAAGAAGGGAGCAGTGAGGCGGCTGTGGGAAGAGAACAGCGGGGAACACAGGGCTGCGGAAGTGTGTTTGATTTTTAAAATAGGAACCATCTGTATGCATCGACTCAAGTCTGAAGATAAGCAAGTGCTTCAGAAGCGAAAGATGGAGCAGAGAGAGGGGCAATGCAAGGCAAGGGGTTTTGGGCAGGGGCGGAATTCAGAGCGCGAGTGAAGTCCTGCCCTCAGACTGTGAGGGGAAACGTGCTCCTTGTGAGTGTGGATGCAGATATACATGTAGGCTTGGTGGTGGGGATCTGAGCATTTTCCCGTCAGAGGACTTCATCTTAGTAGCATTGAGTGAAAAGGGGAGATGGAGTGGGACCGGAAGTTTGAGGAGAGTAGACAAAGTTGTGAAATAACTAGAATGGAAACTCGGAGAGCGTGGACAGAGAAAGATTGTTAGATTGCTGGCAGCATCGAGGACCCAGTCAAGTCTGGCATTTATGAATTTCTAGTGGAACCAACCTGTGAGGTTGTCTGATATTCTCAAGCAGAGCCCAGCAGCCCGGGTGTACAAAAAGATCAGAGACCTTGGTTCAGTCTGAGTTGAGGTGTTGCCAGGTGGCTGGGGAGGATGGACAATGAAAACAATGAAGCAAGAATGAGTTGAGGGTCTGCAAGAGACTGGGTGAAGGGTAGGACATGGACTCTCAGCCAGATGGGGTAAATGGAGAGTGAGGAGGATACTTGCCCCAACTCTCTCACTGATTCTGTTACTTTGGGTAAACTGTCGTACCTCTGGGCTTCAGTTTTTCATTCCTTCTAATCACTAGAGCCAAACAACCCCCATTATGCTGGAGAAGCAAATTCCATTGATGTTCCCAGATCATGGATACAACTCTTTCATTTTCTCATAGAAATGTGCAAAATATCCAGCACTCTTCCCAGAAACCAAGAATAAACCTCCCATTGATATTGGTAATCTAACCCTGCTATAAACTTCAAGTTTGAATCGTTACTTGATTCAATTCAACTCAACTTAAAGACATAGTCACTGAGCGTGTACTTTGTATAAATTACCGTGACAGCAGTTTACTGTAGACAGTCCTAGCTGTGTTGTTGTCTAACAGAAAGGGAAAGACTGGTATATAAATAAGTATATTGGGAGAATAAATCTTAGTATTCAACCCAGGTAAGAAAGAACAATTTCTCTATTTATTTAACAACTTAATATCTGTTTTGAGCCCTACTTTTTTACCAGGTTGGAATAAGCTCAGTTGGGGTCCTCACCATTTTTTGGGTCATGACTAATTCTAGGGGCTTACATAATCCGAAGCCATCAGGAGGGGGTGCTTTTTGGTCCTCATTGTCATCTGTCAGCACGATCTGCTGAGACATCACTGCCCCTGTGGTTCTGTATTATCTGTTCGTGCAGGCAGCCGTGGGGACACACTCATTCCCTCTGCAAGGTCCCTTCAGGACCTACCTTTTGATTCTCTCTGCTACTTCTAGGCCTTTCTGGGTTACACGTAACCAGTGTGCCTCTTTGCAGTATGCATAAACACAGCACTCATCCATTTTCCTTATGGAGTCTTGCTACCTCCCTAAGGTTCTACCAGGGGCACAGGAGAAAATGCTGCTTCTCTCCAGGACCAGTGAGCATTTTAGCTCTCTGAATCTGCTTCCATCTTTCCTTCTTGCTTCTAACTCTGAGAATCCTTTGGTCCAGGAAGATTGGGCAGGTGAGATAGAGAATCTTACTATTACAAATAATGTTTGCTTCCAAATCAGTTGTCTGTGCTGTGGGGTGTTTCTGTTACTAGGAAACTTCTTTTTCTCTCTTTTCTGCTCTCTCACACCCCTCTAAGGCAATGAGCACAAAGTGGACCAGCTGCTTGAATGTAGAGAAAAGCAAGGGGGAAAGAAGTAATGTGGGGGAAATCATGGAAGCTATTCCATACAAGGCAGAAATAGGGTGTGTTATGAGATGAAAAAACACTGTGCTCTGGGGCTTCAAAGTATATTAATAGCGCTCTTTGGTTGCACATGAAAGAAATGAATACTGGTTAACTCCAGTCAGAAAAAATAATGGTTTTATTGAAAGCCTTCTGGGTAACTCACTGAGTAGAAAAAAGAGCTTAACAGATGCTTTGAGAATGACAGGAACCAGGCAGCACTGAGGATTGCAGCAAGAAGAACGCAAGAGCCGTCGAGGGTGCCACGATCAAATGACTCAGTTCCAACCACCTTCTGTCTGGTGTGAGCAAATCCCCAGAAGATCGGCTATGATTGGCTGAGCTTGTTCACACTTGTGGCCAGGGGTTCTCTACCTGGAAGCTCCATCAGACCTATAGTGGAGAGAAGTCGTACTCCCAAGGCAGGGGAAGGCAAAGGAATGTGAGGATGCGGGATGAACAAAGCAACCGATGTCTTGCTCAAAAGGAATGGGAGAGAAAGTCCCATCCAGAAAGCAGGACAGCTTAGAGGACAGGGCATTTGTGAAGGACTTTGAAGGATGGGAAGGGTTCTGATGAACAGAGATATGAGATGGAGATAGGAAGGGAATGCATATTCCAAGCAGATAAATTTGGTAGGGTTGAAAATGTTAATTTGGAGTCATATTAAGAAACTTGAGGCTGGGTGTGGTGGCTCACGCCTATAATCCCAACACTTTGGGAGGCCGAGGTGGGCAGATCATGAGGTCAGGAGTTCGAGACCAGCTTGGCTGACATGGTGAAACCCTGTCTCTATTAAAAATACAAAAATTAGCTGGGCATGGTGTTGGGTGCCTGTAATCCTAGCTACTCAGGAGGCTGAGGCAGGAGAATCGTTTGAACCTGGGAGGCAGAGGTTGCAGTGAGCTGAGATCGTGCCATTGCACTCCAGCCTGGGCGACAGGGTGAGACTCTGTCTCAAAAAAAGAAAAGAAAAGAAAAGAAAAAAAATTTGAGAAGGCTGGGCGTGGTGGCTCATGCCTATAATCCCAGCACTTTGGGAGGCTGAGGTGGGTAGATCACTTGAGGTCAGGAGTTCAAGACCAGCCTGGCTAACATGGTAAAACCCATCTCTACTAAAAATACAAAAATTATCCAGGCATGATGGTGGGTGCCTGTAATCCCAGCTACTCCGGAGGCGGGGGTCGAGAATTGCTTGAACCCAGGAGGTGGAGGTTGCAGTGAGCCGAGATTGCGCCACTGCACTCCAGCATGAGCAACAGAGTGAGACTTCATCTCAAAAAAAAAGAAAAAAAGAAATCGGAATGAGGAATTGTTATGGGCCAAATTGTGTCTCTCCACCATTGCCCCACCAAATTCATGTGCTAAGATTGTAGCTCCCAATTCTGCAGAATGAGACTGCATTGGGAGATGGGGTCTTTAAGGAGGTAATTAAGTTAAAACGAGGCCATTGGGGTAGGCTGTAATTCCAGGTGACTGGTGTCTTTCTAAGAAGAGGAAATTGGGACACGGACAGATACAGAGGGAAGGCCATGAAAACACACAGGGAGAAGACAGCCATCTGCAAGCCAAGGATGGAGGCCTCAGAAGAAACCAACCCTGAAGACCCCTTGGTCTCAGCCTCCAGAAATGTGAGAAAATCCATTTCTGTTGTTTAAGTCACTCAGTCTGTGGTACTTTGTTATGGCAGCCCCAGCAAATGAAGACAGACATCTTTTCTTATTTTGGATGCAATGGATACCCACAGAAACTTTTTAAAAGGGGGGATTAGGTAACTAGACTTACGATTTAGGAAAATGGATCTAACAGTGGTCTCAGGGGTGGGTAGAGTCTGGAGGTGGGAGACCAGTTAGTAGACTACTGCAAAAGTCTTTAGAAAGGTATATGAGGCTGTTAGCTTGGATAGTAGCAATGAGGTTGAGAAGAGACTGGGATTGTGGCAATGATTATAGAAATGGAATTTCAAGACTTGGTTGCAAATTGAATATTGGAGGAAAGGAGAGGAGAGAGTTAAAGATGCCTTCAATTTTTATGACCTGTTAACTAGGTGATATGGTTTTGCTGTGTCCCCACCCAAATCTCAACTTGAATCGTATCTCCCAGAATTCCCGTTTGTTGTGGGAGGGACCCAGGGGGAGGTAAGTGAATCATGGGGGCCGGTCGTCTTTCCCATGCTATCCTCGTGATAGTGAATAAGTCTTATGAGATCTGATGGGTTTATCAGGGGTTTCCGCTTTTGCTTCTTTCTCATTTTCTCTTGCTGCTGCCATGTAAGAAGTGCCTTTCGCCTCCCACCATGATTCTGAGGCCTCCCCAGCCGTGTGGAACTGTAAATCCAATTAAACCTCTTTTTCTTCCCAGTCTTGGGTATGTCTTTATCGGCAGCATGAAAATGGACTAATACACTGGGAGAATGAGGTAATAAAAGAAGGCTCTTTTTTTATTTGTTTTTAATTTTTGAGACAGAGCACTGCTGTGTCACCTAGGCTGGAGTGCAGTGGCACAATCATAGCTCACTGTAGCTTCGACCTTCTAAGCTCAAGCAATCCTCCTGCCTCAGCTTCCTGAGCAGCTGGGACTACAGATACACACCATCACACCTGGCTAATTTTTTAATTATTTGTAGAGACAAGGTCTCACTATGTTGCTCAGGTTGGTCTCGAACTCCTGGGGTCAAGCGATCCTCCTGCCTCAGCCTCGCAAAATGCTGGGATTACCAGTGTGAACTGCTATGCCTGGCCAAGAGGGCTCTTTTGATGACTGACAAAAATGCAATCAAACTAGCTTATGGACAAATGGAATTGGTTACTGCTCTAATAGTGAGACCCAGGGTCTTGCATCGGGCTTTGGACGCTCCTGGTCCTAGGCACTCGGGGGCTCTGGTTTGCTTTTCTTTGGGTGCCGTGCCTTCCTTCTGAAGCTTCCATGTGGCCAGGGAAGACAGCCGCAGCATCTTCACAGTTCATGATCTAAGACGACTCCCTCTCGTCTCCATATGCCAAATCCCACTTAGGGCAGGTGCTTACTCCTTGGCCCTATCACTGCGGACAGGAAGATGGGGTACCACTGATGGTGAAGCTTTGGTTTGCGTTCCCTCCATTTAGGCCAGGTAGGAAATTTTGATTGACAGTTTTGTAGATCTCCGGTGAAAACAGAAATGCAGGGCAGACAGAAACAGTTGATATCCACCCCACTGGGTTTGGATTTGGATATTTTATTAGGCTGGTGCAAAGGAAATTTTTTTTTTTTTTTTTTTGAGGCAGTCCCGCCCTGTTGCCCAGGCTGGAGTGCAATGGCCCAATCTTGGCTTACTGCAACCTCCACCTCCTGGGTTCAAGCGATTCTCCTGGTAATTACTTTTAATGGCAAAAACTGCAATTACTTTTGCACCAGCCTAATATTTTTGGACATGCCAATATCGAGTAAAGGATGGGGTGCAGGGAAGAAATGGTAAGAGTTCATTGACAATGTGGTTTCGAGCTCAAGAGAGAGGAGTTACCCACAGAGAGGCTGTGACTAAAGCCATGGTAGTGAGTACATTTCCTGAAAAAGAGAATAGCCATTGGAAAGAGGTTGGAGGATGGACTGAACATTAGGGAATTTCTATATTTGGTAAAGAAAAAAGGAAGAAAATACAGGAGTAGTCAGAGAAGGGCAGGCCATCCAGAAAATAGAAATTGATGGAAGCCAGTGAAGGAGAAGGTTTCAAGAAGGATGGAATGTTGGTAGCTTTCAGAGGTGAGAACTGAGAAAAGACAGGGATCATTAGGTACTTAGGAGATCACTGGTGACCTCCTCATGGCTTTGGGGGCGCGGGTCAGTGTCATTAAAAATGGTTACTTTTTTTTAAAGACAAAGAAATTTTATCGCCATAAATTAATCCAGTAGGTATATCTGAGAAAGCACACATCAGTTGGTTAGAGCAACAAGCGCCTCTACCACGTTGCCCATGTGTTCCCGCAAGCCGCCTTCCGCTGCTGCTCGAGATATCTCCATCTCGGTCATTACCAGCTCCAGATCTTCCTTCTTGATACTGCCTATTGCCAGTTCTTTCTTCCCTTCCTGTTTGGCTTTCTGCTCCCGGGACCTTCTGTCTCCAGTCACAGACATGGCCGTCTCCAGATTGGAACTCTGATCTCCTTCTCCTCTGCATAGTCGGTGACCCGCTCCAAGTCCGCCGCACTGCTGTCAGTCATGTTTCCGTGGCTTCTCGGGAGGCCGCTCTGGGCCACGGGTCTCAGTCTCTAACTCCAGCTCCACATCCCCCTCGGTCGCCGCATCTATTTCACCACGCCGCCGCATAAGCCCCACCTCACGGCGACAAATAAAAGGTTACATTTTTTAAAAAACCTACATTTTTAGGGGCGTCATCAGCCATAAAGTTTATGGGCAAGGTGAGACATTTGGATGCAGACTCAGAAAGTTTGAATTTATTGGCACTTTAATAAATAAATGATGAACTCTTTTGTGTATCTGCAGTTGGCTTATGAGGAAACTGAGTCCCAGAGAGGGGCAATGACTTATACAAGTTTTCCATGGGGCCTGGTGGAAGACTAGGACGGTCAACAGCAGCCTGGAGAGCCTGGAGTCTGCGTCAATATGCAACCCTAGCCCTGCACGCTGGGCGTTTGCCTGAGGTTTCCAGTGCACCGGAGGCGCGTACTCGTCTGCCTAAGAGGGTGAGGAGGGTGAAGGGGATTGATGAAGCAGGTAACCATGGCCCTGGAGAGGCCATCCTCATTGAATGGGGACCACTGTTACTCAGCTCAGCTGATCACTGCCACATGGGAATGAGGCCCTAGGATTGTCCAGATGTGATTTTCTAAGGGAAGTTGGGAATCTGAAGTTGGGAACGTTTATGCGAACTTCCCCACTCTTTCCATATTGGCAGCTAATTTAAAAACATAAAACCACTGTGTGAGTAAACAGGTTTGTGGGTTGGGCTGCCAGTTTATACCCTCAGCTCTGTATGTGAGGAATAGGGGCGGGAAAAAAAACAGCCAGGATGTGGAGAAAAGATGACATAAAGAGGCTCCACCTACAGTTCAATCTGGCAAGAGGCCTGGGTGTCAAAATTGTTCCTGAGGTCCTGAAAATCTGGACACCTCTAGTATGTCAGCACAGAGTGTGTGACTTTTAAAGCCACCAGTGGTCTGGATCTTAGTCTCCTCTTACCTTACACAAATCTGGAAAATTCTTTAGTGATTGCTATTTATTCCTTTTGTTTTATTTCTTTTATAGTATTATTATTTTCTTTATTCTTTCCTTCTATTTTGAGAACTTTGGTATTTTCCTTTTTGAGTGAAAAATACTATGGATTCTGGATTAAAATAGCACAGGAGAAGTTGAAATAAGCTTTTGTCAGTTTTGCAGATATGGTTATTGCTATGACATCTCATTCATTCAAGTCTTTATTTTTGCCTATGTACAAGACAATGTGTTATAACTTGCAAGGTGTAGGAAATGAATAAGAACAACCTGTACCCATATTCTTGAGGCATATAATTAGGAACTGGAGAAAAAGGACCAACATAAATAGATATAATCATTCATTCCTGCAGCTTCCTGACCATGATGTCTACCACGTGCACATTCACAAAGTTACAGTTTAGTGCAGAGAAAGACATGTGTACAGATAATTTTGGTGTTATTCATGTGCTATAATAGAATGATCAAGAAACTTGGAGGAGCAGAAGAGAAAGCACCTCATTCTGCTTGCATGAGCTGAACACTTTAGGGAGGCTTCACGGAGGAGGTGTTGTTTAAGATAAGTCTTTAGGATGACCAGGGATTTGCACAGCAGATGAAGGGTGGCCAGGGTTTCTAGGAAGAAGGTGCAGCACCTACAAACTCAGAGGCATAAAGGAACATCACACATTCAGGGTGTGATGGATGAGAAACCAATATGGGAAGTTCCTCAGGAGAGCTACAAGCCAAGCACTATGCGATTCTCATTTACATCCCGGTCCTGCTGTTCCATGTGAAATGAGTCAGGGCAGGTGGATGTCTTAGGCACACCAGGCATTCTGGTGCCGGGGCATCTGCCTTATGTCCTTTACCCCTGAGTATTTTATTGGTCTTCTACTGGAAAGAAACCATCCATGTCATCCAGGCTTGGGGAAAGTACAGGAGCATCTACAGATTCCTTCAAAATGTATATTTCACTTCCCATATTTAAAGCCAGGAGATGGCCGGGTGCAGTGGCTCACGCCTGTAATTCCAGCACATTAGGAGGCCAAAGCAGTTGGATCGCTTGAGCCCAGAAGTTTGAGACCACCCTGGGCAAGATGGTGACACCTCGTCTCTACAAAAAATACAAAAATGAACAGAGTGTGCTGACGTGTGCTTATAGTCCCAGCTACTTGGGAGGCTGAGGTGGGAGGATCACTTGAGCTCAGGAGGTCAAGGCTGCAGTGAGCCATGATTGCAACACTACATTCCAGCCTGGATGACAGAGTGAGGCCCTGTCTTAAAAAAAAAAATTACAAATAAAGCCAGAAGACCAGGTGTTTTTACATGAGTACTACTTGCTACCATAATCCACAGAAAAAGTGTCTCATATTAGTATGGAGTTAGTAATTCTTTTTCATTAGATGGTAGGCTATGTTTCAAATAGGAATTTCAGCCAGGTGCTGTGGCTTATGCCTGTAATCCCAACACTTTGGGAGGCCAAGACAGGCGGATCACCTGAGGTCAGGGGTTTGAGATCAGCCTGGCGAAACCCAGTCTTGTCTAAAAATACAAATATTTGCTGGGTGTGGTGGTGGGTGCCTGTAGTCCCAGCTACTCAGGAGGCTGAGGCAGGAGAATCACTGGAAACGGTTGTGGCGGCGGGGGGGTGGTGTGTGGAGGTTGCAGCGAGCCGAGGTCACACCACTGCATTCCAGCCTGGGCGAAAGAGGAATTTAATGGAGCGATCTATTATCAACTTACATTGAATTTTGTCATCCCTGTGACTATTTATTGAATAGTTACAATACACATAACTAGCTATATGAGTTTGATTTTAAAGAAAAGATAATGCTTTTTACATTTGATTCCTAGAAATCAGTATTGTTGCCTTAATTCGTAATGAAAAAGAAAAATACCAATCAAAGGAAAGGTATATTTTCTTTTTTAGCAGAGCTGTGCAGTACAGTAACAGCCCAAGGGTAGAGTCTGGGCTCATGCCCTGAGCCATCCGAGGTGGGGCCTGGGGCCTCCCACGAGTGAACAGCACACACCTGAGGCCAGACCACACTCTTTTGCTTCATTTACACGTGTTAGTTCTCATGAACTATATCATAAATACATGTGGGTTTTCAGCCAATTTTTGGTAAGACAGTTTGTGTTTCAGGGCATTTTATCTACAGAATTTGATTTAAACATTATCAGATATTTACGCATTAAAAACAATTATATACGATACTAAGTAAAATGTAAAATACATTGAATTAACTCACTATCTTAGTTTAGAAATATACTTGAACTGTTATGAATGTGAGTTGTCAGCTGCCAATGATAGGATGACTAACTCATTCTGGGTTTGGCACTCAAAGTCCCACGTCCCAGAGTTCAAACCGCAAGGTAATTCTGCCCATCAAAACTCAACCAGGACCAGCTCAGATCCACATGCTAAGCTGTTTCTTACACTAGCTGTTAGAACTCAGTGTCTGACTGGAGCAGAAGTTAATGTAGCATACAGATCACTTGGAAAAGTGAATGACCCGTGGTTATGACAATCGATAAAAATATTAAGGTTGTACCAATCACAGTTTGACCATGAGTAGTGCAGAATATGAGAAAGGCAGAAAAGGCAGGTAGGAAGGTATGCAAAAAAGACTGGAGGAGGAGCTTAGGAGGCTTGACTTGACATTTCTAGAGCTTCCTCTGGAAATACCAGCTGTTTCTGTGTTTGTAAAAGACAAACAGAGCAGCCTGAAATAAAATGGTGAGATGGAAGTGTCTGATCTTCTGATGTCCCACCCTTCCTTATCCTCATTATCTCTCTCCACACCTATGTTAAGTGACAATTCCAGTTAAAAATCCTCATGCATGCCATTCTAACCTTTCTTCCTTCTTATGTACTGTATTAGTCAGTTCTTGCATTGCTGTAAAGAAATACCTGAGACGGGGTAATTTATAAAGAAAAGAGGTTTCATCGGCTCATGGTTCTGCCGACTGTACAGGAAGCATAGTGGCTTCTGGGGAGGCCCCAGGAAACTTACGATCATGGCAGAAGAAGGGGAAGCAGACACATCTTACGTGGCAGATGCAGGAGCAATAGAGGAAAGGGGGGCTAGCCATGGTGGCTCACGTCTGTAATCCCAGCACTTTGGGAGGCTGAGGCAGGCAGATCACCTGAAGTCAGGAGTTCGAGACCAGCCTGGCCAACATGGTGACACCCCATCTGTACTAAAAATACAAAAATTAATTAGCCAGGCTTGGTGGCACACACCTGTAGTCCCAGCTACTTGGGAGGCTGAGGCACAAGAATTGCTTGAACCCAGGAGGCAGAGGCTGCAGTGAGCCAAGATTGCGCCACTACACTCCAGCCTGGACAACAGAGTGAGACTGTCTCGAAAAAAAAAAAAAAAGAGAGAGAGAGAGAAAAGGGGGAGGTGCCACATACTTTTAAACAACCAGATCTTGTGAGAACTTTATCACAAGAACAGCACTAAGGGAATTGTGCTAAGCCATTCATGAGAAACTGCCCCCATGATCCAATCACCTCCCCCAGGCCCCACCTTCAACATCGGGGATTACAATTCGACATGAGATTTGGGTGGGAACACAGATCCAAACCATATCATGTACTATGTCCTTTAGTAAGTTTTTCCTTAACATTTTAAAATAAAAAATTTTAAACACACAGAAAAGTGGACAGAATTTTATAAGGACTGCCCATATACCCACCACTTGGACTATAAAACTAACATTTTAATATACATGCCTGATTTATCCCATATCTTCTATCTCTCCATCCATCAATCCATCTTATTTTTTGGATGCATTTCAAAGCAAGTAGCTTCAGCTCTAAGCACTTGAACACGCATACCATTAACTAGGGTTTGGTTTTTTGGTGTTTTTTTTTTTCTCTTGAGATAAAATTTATACACAATGAAATACACAGATCTTAAGTATATTTTCCCATGAGTTTTGACAAATGTATTCATGTGTGTAACCCAAACCCATGTCAAGATACAGGACACTCTCATCATACCAGAAAGTTCTCCTCATGCCTCTTCCAAGTTAATCCCTATCAGGATCACCATCCTCCACCTACCCCAAACAATTACTATTCTCTGATTGTTTTCCACTACAAATTACTTTCATCTGCTCTAGAACTTTGCATAATTAGAACCATAGAGTATGTACTCCTTGGAGTCTGATTTTCTTTGCTCAGCATGATGTCTGTGAGATTCATCCATGTTCATGGGTATATTGGCAGTATTTCTGGCCAGCATTCCATGGTATGGATGTATTATAATTTGTTCATTTTCCTTTTAATGGACATTTGGTCAGTTTACAGTTTTTAAATATTATATATGAAGTTCCTAGGGACCTAACTATACAAATATGTTGGTGTATTGTTTTCATTTCTCTGGGGTAAATACCTAAGGAGTGGAATCCACAGCATTATTTTAAATAACTTAACAGAGGCTTATTAGAAGGTGGCATCATGTCTCTACCTCTCCATCCATCTTGTTTTTCTCCTTTTCTCTTACTCTATTTTCTTCTTCCTATTACCGCCCCCCCCCCCCCGCTTTTTTTTTGAGACAGAGTCTTGCTCTGTCACCCAGGCTGGAGTGTAGTGGCTCAGTCTCAGCTCACTGCAACCTCCGCCTCCTGGGTTCAAGCAATTCTCTGCCTCAGCCTCCCGAGTAGCTTGGTATAGGCTCCTGCCACCATGCCTAGCTATTTTTTTTTCTGTATTTTTAGTAGAGACGGGGTTTCACCATGATGTCCAGGCTGGTCTTGAACTCCTGACCTCGTGATCCACCTGCCTTGGACTCCCAAAGTGCCGGGATTACAGGCATGAGCCACCACACCTGGCCCCCTCTTCTTTTTTCTATAAGCCACTCATTTCCTTCCCTCTTGTCTCTCCTGACAGGGTATAATGTTTTGTTACTATTTTCTAACTGTCCTAAAAATTCTTCCAGAGAGGCATGGTGTTGATGAAAATGCCTTGACTGTTGGGCTACTTTCAAGATAAGCCTCTGCCGCTTTATAGCAGGGTGAGTTATGTTACTTCTCTGGGCTCCAGGCTCCTTAATGGTTTGTTCATTCAAGAGGTTGGAGATAACTCTGGAGTTCCCTTTTCAGCTCCATCATTCTGTAAATCTATGAGCTCTTTTTCTAAGACACAAATCTGGCAGAGAGAGACAAGATAGGAGGACAGAAAGATGATGAAGATGTGAGGGTAGAGATGGAGAGGGCAAAAAAGAAAAACGAATAACTTTCTTCCTGCAACTTGGCCAAACAGTGACATGGTCTCTGGGGCCAGGCCAGTCCCCTCCCAAGGTCATCTTTCTTTCCTCACTCCTGGCTTCATGGTTAGGCACCCCAACTGGCCTTGCCTTGTCCTCTGCTGCTGTGTACCCCCTATCTTCTCTGTTCCCCCAATTAATATATATTAGTTTCATGCTCTAGATATGGTCATTGAGCCTCCCAAGACAGCACTATAAACCAATTTATGCCAATGAACCAATAAGGAAACCAAGAGAGGTCCCTTCTTGCCAAGGTAAATATATTCATTTAATAAGGGCTTTGTAGATACAATGCACTCATTTTCATTGTATAACCTAGAGGAAGGATACTAATGTTAGGAGGTTTATGTCCGAGAAGTGAAGAAACACCGTGGCAGGCTGTATGAGGAGTCTCTTAAGTGCACGAGCTGGTGCATTTGAGATCTTCTTCATATGATACACTTACCGAGACTATGATACCTGAATTTTATTGCATTAAGTCTCAATTTAAAAATTTTATTCTGCTGCTTGCCAAAACCTCCTCATACTTACTGGAACACATATGCCAATTTTGGCTCAGAAAATGTGGTCTCTGTGCATATTGATGGATATCATTTTCAGCACATGTACTCTCTTGATACCTTGGGTATATCTTACCTTACAGTAATTAGCATATATGTCATTTCAAAAAGCAAAAGTTTCATCCTGGACTTAGGGAAAGGTTAAATGAGGAGAGAAACTACTAAAGAGGAAGAGAAACATTAAAAAAAGAGAGAAGTAGCGTAGAGTGAAAAGGAGTGGGAAAAGATGGGCCAATGATGAACCGAAGATGAAGAAAAAAATGAGAAGTGTACCGTGAAAGTATAAAACCCTTAAAAGACACGATTTTATGCTAAAAAAAATTCATTCAAAATTTCGTCCCAAGCCAGAAGTAAGAGTAAAATGTAAACTTTGCGACATAGTGCCCCCTGGCATACCTAATTGCAACCTCATTATGTGTCTTCAGATCTCTAGTGTATTTTGTTTTCTTTTTGTTTGTTTTTGTTTTTGAGATGGAGTCTCACTCTGTCGCCCAGGCTAGAGTGCAATGGCACAATCTCGCCTCATTGCAACCTCTGCCTCCTGGGTTCAAACAATTCTCCTGCCTCAGCCTCCTAAGTTGCTGGGATTACAGGCACCTGCCACCACGCCCGGCTAATTTTGGTATTTTTAGTAGAGATGGGGTTTTGCCATGTTGGCCAGGCTGGTCTCAAAATCCTGACCTCAAGTGATCCACCTGCCTTAGCCTCCCAAAGTGCTGGGATTACAGGCATGAGCCACTGCACCCGGCCTCTAATGTATTTTGATATACTCAAAATATACTCATATTTAACAACAAACACAAATTAATTATAGTTCAGAAGGGACAGAGTTAGGCTTTCAATTCAAGTTGTAATAAATCATATTAGTGATTATTTTTATGTTTCTAATATATCAATTAAGCTCATTGGATTCCAGCTAATTAAGTTACAAAGATAAGGGACTCATACCCTAAGGATGGAATGAGCTCTAGCTTTTAAATAATTATCCCTCTGAGATTGAGGCTTTTCAGTTTCCTATGTTATGCCAGTAGATTCAGTTCACAGTCATTTGTAGGAAAAGCAAAAGGCATTTAGAGAGTTCTGAGACTGTCAGTCCTCATCGGACACTGGGTATGAGCACTGTGACTTTGAGACTCAGGGCCGTGCACCTGTGGGAACTGGACCACACACACACACACACACACACACACACACACACACACACACACACACACACACACACACTTTGAAAAGAAGCCCAGCCACAGCTGAGAGCTATGCTATCCCCCTTATCACTGTCATCTAAAACCCTCTTCCAGTGAGGGAGGAGGACTGTAAACTCCAGGTATATTTAGGAGCCAATTGATGTTTAACCCCTAAGAAGAAAGGCTTTGGAAGACAGAGCAAGCAAACAGAGATTCTAACTTTACAAACTGCAGAAGTTACCAAGTTTAAGGTAAGGAGAAAGATCAAATAAATGAGGTCAGGGTCAAAATCCCTCAGAGCCAGGATTTGGGTATGAGGAGATGAAAGGGAAGAGAGGGCAGAACATCTTGTTTTGAGGACCCAAATCAGCAAGGCTGGTGAACTAGGGTGGAGGGTGTGCACCTGCAGAGGTGGATTGAGGGAATCTTCAAAAGCTGGATACATCTACCCGTGTGGCCTTTCAAGTCAAACTTGGGTACAGAGATAACCACTTCCCCTACTCTACTCTACCACAACTAATTAAAAGTAATTAGCCCACTTCCTTGTTAAACCCTGAGAATGTCTACCCAGAAATCTGTTTGAAGTGTTTTTTTTTTTTTTTGACAGAGTTTTGCTCTTGTTGCTCAGGCTGGAGTGCAATGGCACGATCTTGGCTCACCACAACTTCTACCTCCTGGGTTCAAGCGATTCTCCTGCCTCAGCCTCCCGAGTAGCTGGGATTACAGGCATGTGCCACCATGCCTGGCGAATTTTTTGTATTTTTAATAGAGATGGGGTTTCTCCATGTTGGTCAGGCTGGTCTCGAACTCCTGACCTTAGGTGATCCACTCACCTTGGCCTCCCAAAGTGCTGGGATTACAGGTGTGAGCCACCGTGCCTGACCAGGATACGTGTCTGGCCGGGAATCTGTATTTTTAGTGATTAATCTCAGGTGATTCTTAAGCATACTCAAGCTTGAGAATTTGCTGTTAGAACGGCTCCTGACGTTTTCCGAGGGGATTAAAGGAGATAGGGTCTAATAGGCTGAGTCTGACTTGGCAGGTCCTATTTTGACGTGGACTTGGACTTTACTGTCACTCACTTCTTGACTGAGGACCTACCATGAAACCAGATTATGACAGTTAGGTGGTAGATTTGACTCTGAGTTTCTTGGTGATCAAGATAAGCAGTTAGATTTTCATACAGAATTCTCATTGTCCTGGAGGAAAAGACAAACAAACCATACCAGTGTCTTAGGAGAGGCAAAGCCGGTCACCAGCCCTTAACTCTAAAGGAATTTTCTTCCTGACAGATGTGGCAAACACATCCTCAAGAACATTCCCGTAGCAAATGCAGTCCTGGATGATTAGTGAGGTAAATGATAATTTGCAAAGGCTACAGTTTTAAAAATTAGTCAGACCTGGGCAGGTGTGGTGGCTCACGCCTGTAATCCCAGCACTTTGGGAGGCCAAGGTGGGCGGATCACGAGGTCAGGAGTTTGAGACCAGCCTGGCCAACATGGCAAAACCCTCATCTCTACTAAAAATACAAAAATTAGCCAGGCGTGGTGGGAGGAGCCTGTAATCCCAGCTACTTGAGAGGCCGAGGCAGGAGAATTGCTTCAACCTGGGAGGTGGAGATTGCAGTGAGCCGAGATCATGCCATTGCACTCCAGCCTGGGTGACAAAGCAAGACTATGTCACAGAAAAAAAAAAAAAAAATTAGTCAGACCTGAGTTTGAATCCCAATGTAAATTGCTTTTACTACTTGGGTAATCTCCAGCAAGTTATCCTTCCGCAACCCATAACATTCATTATCTAAAAAATTATGTCAGTAATACATTGCCATCATAAATGGTTCTAGAAATATATGACTATAGGATGAAATACAAACCTCTCCTCCTCCCACTCTTACCTTCCCCTGCTTCCCCCATGCCTCCTCCCCTTGCCTGAGATAACCACTGTTAACAGTTGAGCTACATCCTTTCCAGCTTTTAGAGCATATTTTTGTTTACATGTATACATTATCATGAAAGTTGCTTCTTTTGCTGAACAGTATATCTTGGAGGTAAGTGTGGATGTATCTCATTCCTTTTTAATATGGCTTAATATCCCATAATGTGGGTATATTTTAATTTATTTATCCATATCCTCTTATGATGACTCAGATTTGTCACACTTTCTTCCTTCCTTCTTTCCTATTCCTTTGCTAATACAGGGTTTTGCTTTCTTGCCCAGGCTGGAGTACAGTGGCGCCACCCTAGCTCACTGCAGCCTTGAACTCCTGAGCTCAAGCAATCCTTCGGCCTCAGCCTCCCAGGTAGGTGAGGGTAGCTGAGGGACCACAGGCGTGAGCCACTGTACCCAGCAGTAAACATTTCTTTAGGATAGATTCTAAAGAATGAATTGGGTCAGAGGATATGCATGTTTTAAATTTGGATTGATACTGCCTAGCTGCCCTTTCAAATAGCTTTTTAAATTTATATTTGGGCAAGTTATTTATTTTCTGTGACCCTTTGTTTCCTCAAGTATACAAATTCAATGTAGTCAAACCTACTGCATGGGATTGGTGATATGATTAAATGAGAAAAACAGTGTAACAACGCTGCTTGGAATGTGGGCGGTTTTTTTTTTTGAGACGGAGTTTCACTCTTGTCGCCCAGGCTGCAGTGCAGTGGCACGATCTCAGCTCACTGCAACTTCCATCTCCTGGGTTCAAGTGATTCTCCTGCCTCAGCCCCCCGAGTAGCTGAGATTACAGGTGCCCGGCACCATGCCCAGCTAATTTTTTGTATTTTTGGTAAAAGACAGGGTTTTGCCATGTTGGTCAGGCTGGTCTCGAACTCCTGACCTCAGGTGATCCACCCGCCTTGGCCTCCCAAAGTGCTGGGATAACAGGCGTGAGCCACCACGCCCAGCCAGAATGTGGGTGGTTCTTATCATCCTTACGCCTTAGAATCAGATAGAAGAAATCTATTTTCCTATAACCTTTAGTCTGTTTGGGGAGATTGAGGAAGATCACAACTCTCCTTGTGGGATGTCTTCATACTAGGTACATTTCAGAGGCTAAACATTCTTGGAGGTTACTAAACAAAATGATCCAACACATAGAAGGTAGCGAGAAAGATGGTGGTGTGAATTTTATTGTTAGGCTAGGGGTTCACTTAACAAGCCTGTGTAAGGATCACCTGACTCTCTTGGAGAATACAATTTAACTTCCTATTGGCTAATGAATAGGGCCCAGGCATTTTTGCAACAAAAGTTAGATGTTAATATGTAGTAAATTGTTACAATAAAAATTATTTTTGTCTAATAATAATGCCAATTATTTCTGTTCATTAGAGAAAAAACCCTAAAGATTATAGTTTATTGCTCTGTAGAACAATGATGAGTTTTAGTATTTAATAATTTTATTCTAGCCTTCTCTTTGATGGGAAATATGTACATTCGTTTCTTGCATCTGCCTTTGAATCATTTTGTCATTCTGTTTGTTCCCTCATTAGCGAGCTGAAAATAACCTTGACATATGCTCTTATGTATATGTGTTGTTTTAACATTTTGAAAATTCTACTTTTAACAGTACTCAAGATCAGACCATGCTACTGCTTTCACTCCCTGCAGATGGTCATATTTTTGAGGCCTTCATTCATTTAATTGTCTTTTTTGTGTTATCTCTAAATTCTCCATGGCTCTGGACAGTAATTAAACATAAAGGAGAGAAGTTCTCCCGCCAGCTGTCCTGCGTCACTCCTTCAGTTCTCAGCTTAGATTTCCTGTCCTTGGGAAGCTGTCATCATCCTTCTATCTTTACACCCCATGATTTACCCCTTGCAGTGTACTTATTACACTGTATTGGAATCGCTTCTTTTCTCTTTCTCTGTGAATTTCTTGAGAGCACAGACTACATTCTGCTTAACTTTTTATCCCCAGCTTTCAGCACAGTGCCTGGCTGTAAGTACTCAATAAATATTTTGAATGAATACTTTATGGGCTAAATGTTACATCAGTCTTATTTTGTGTGTTCAAGGGTGCTAAATAATAGTCACATATAATTTATTGTTCTAACAATAGCAATGGCAATCTTTAGCTTGTGTGCTCCTTGTAGACCTTCCTTTTGGGGATTGTAGTGGTGGTGCATTTTTGCATAACCAAGTCTTCATCTTATATTAGTTGTTTTGGTCCCTTCCATAATATTTTCAGAATACTGCTCCTTTAAGACTGGTGAAAGCCTGCTGGTGGAGGAAGAGGTCCTGCCACTGAACAAAGTGTCTGTGTAGATTTAGCTACACCCATTTGATGTGCTTCTTAGTCTCGTTTAACTTGCCGATTCATATATCCCTGTCTCATTTGTTCTTAGATTTGTCACGAAGCCTCTGGTTTTTGGCTTGTCCTGGTTTGAACTTGGTGTATCTGGCTCTTGACTCATTTTCTGACCTCAGACCATCCTTAAATCTGCTTTTCTACTTTGTACCAGGCTTTGGCGTCTCCAAGTACCTGACCTCAGCTCAACCTGTCTTGGGTTTTCTTCTCCTCCCTGACATTGACAACCCAGCCCTCCTAGGCACAGAGAGATGGAGCTGAGTGTGGTTTTCCTGAAATAAAGCTTGCATTATGAGAGGGAATAAACAGGTACATAGTGTTTTAGACGGCAGCATTTTAACTTCATGTAGGCATTGTTTTCATGACAATTTTCTTTTGTTTCTCCTTTTGTTATGAAATATGCATTTCGCCAATATTAAATGGAATATTCCAGAAGAAAAAAATAGTAAGTAAAATCTTGCTTGCCTCTCAGTAAAATAAAGCTCTATTTTTCGTTTTTTTTTTTTCCAACTTCCTGTACAAAAAAGGGAAAACTTTAGCTTTTGGGGGAAATTTGGAGCTAGCCTGTTGGTACTGTTGAGCTTAGTGTATCTATAACTATATATTATTCCACAATATCTTAAATACTTTATAAAGATATTTTCATAAATTACAGCAATCCTGGCTTTAGATGATTGATGGCCATTTTTAAACAATTAAAGCTAATTTCTAGCTTTTTATGAGTTTGGTATTAAGCACAGTAGTTTCTTAGAAAGTCTCCAGGGAATGCATTTTGCAAAATAAAAATCAGCTAATGACCCAGGAAAGCCTCTTCATGCTTGTTTACAACTTTTTAAAGTGGCTCTTTTCAAACGTCAGGGTTTTTTTTTTCTCAGTCACTAGATGAAAAATTATAGAAACCATCACATCCAGTCAATTGGTTGCTGTAATTCCAAAAGATTTAGACAAAGTGAAGAAAGCTTACCCACTGGAGGGCATGTAATGTCACCGGCATGTGACGAGATGTGCATATTTGTGGTGGACCGGGTGCTTGATGTGAGAAGTGCTGGCAATGAGGAGTCAGCCTGGCCCAAATAACCACAAAAAAGAACAGATTTCAGACAGGCCGTTTTACAGTTTCCCACTTGTTCTTTTGCCAACTTCCAGCCACTTCTTTCTCTAGCACTGATCAAACAAAACAAACGATCATTCTGGAAAAGTTCTGAAAATATAGGTCACTTGTTTCTTTTTGTTATCTTTAATCTGCTGTGTATCGACTTACCTTTCCACACTGATCCACTCAATTTACGTTTAAATAAAGTTTTCAAATTAACTGCATGCTAAAAAAATAAGCTAATTAGGGGGATGAAGGCTGTTAAAACATGTGTTGTCTTTTCTTCATTGCGATAAAGATCGAGGTGACCAGCATTTTTTTTTTTTTTTGAAACAGAGACTCACTTTGTCACCCAGGCTGGAGTGCAGTGGTGCCATCTCGGCTCACTGCAACCTCCACCTCCCAGGTTCAAGTGATTCTCCTGCCTCAGCCTCCTGAGTAGCTGGGATTACAGGCTGCGCACCACCAAGCCTGGCTAATTTTTGTATTTTTTTGGTAGAGACAGGGTTTCACTGTGTTGGCCAGGCTGGGGGGTGACCAGCTTTTACAAACAGCCTGTAAAATGTTTTTCATTGTAGCCACAGCCAGTTCTGATATTGTCCTGAAACCGCTCAATATGTAGCACACCTGCCATAAATTTTTTTAACTTGATTTTTATTAGAAAATCCTGATTCACATTCACTAGAATAAAAAAGAATCTGGAGAGAGTGTTTCAGTCTTCTTTCTTATTGATTTATTTCTCTCCCACATGGCTGTATTTTCACAGCGGCACCATCTGTCAATTAAGCAACGGCTCTGCGTAAGCAGTAAAACCAGAGGGTGTGCTTTGCCACAGGGGCGAGCTTGTTTGTTGAGGGATACAGGCTTTTGGAGAAGTAGCTTCTCATTCAGCCCTCAGGCTTTTGTGGGGAATGCATTTTAAAACTCTGCAGACCCAGATGGAGAGCCGGAGTTACAAAATGACAGTGTTTTCAGGATTCACTCTCAGAATCTTCCTCTTGGGTATTTCTAACAATTTATTTCCTTTATTATTTCAAAAACAGAGTTTTCTTCTAGTCAACAATAATGCGTAATGCACTTAAAACATTTGTTAAGAGGGTAGAGCTCACGTTAGGTGTTCTTACCACAATAAAATATTTTAATAAAATGGTTTTTATTAAATTATTTTAAAATTTACTTTATCAAATATTGAATATACTCAGAATATCCTCTAATAATATTGGAATAGATAACCTTATCCCTGATCATTTCACACTTACATGGGAATATTCATAAAATAAATTGCTAGTAGTGGGACTGCTGGAACAAATGTACATGCATTATAATTTTGATAGACACTGCTAAATTGCCACAGGCGTTTGACCAATTTACACTTCCACCAACAATGTGTGAGAGGGTCTGTTTTTTGATGGCCTTAGTGACAGGATATGTTACCAAGCTCTTAGATTTTTGCCAATTTGATAGGTGAAAGCGATGTTTCAGTGTGGTTTAACTGGCATTCATATTTTATGAGTGAGGCTGAATATCTCTTTTTTTTTTTTTTTGAGACGGAGTCTCGCTCTGTTGCCCAGGCTGGAGTGCAGTGACGTGATCTCGGCTCACTGCAGCCTCTGCCTTCCAGGTTCAAGCAATTCTCCCGCCTCAGCCTCCTGAGTAGCTGGGATTACAGGCACCCGCTGCCATGGCCAGCTAATTTTTGTATTTTTAGTAGAGACGGGGTTTCACCATGTTGGCTAGGATGGTCTTGATCTCCTAACCTCATGCCTCAGCCTCCCAAAGTGCTGGGATTACAGGCATGGGCCACCACGTCCGGCTGAGGTTGAGTATCTTTTATATGTTTTAGAGCCGTTTGTATTTTGTTTTTTGTAAATCGTTCATTCCTACCTATACTTTGCCAACTTTTTTATTGGGTTGTTGATTTTTAAAAAATCATTTTGTAGCTGCTCATTGTGTGTTAGTGAGCTTAACCCCTGGCCTGGGAAATAGAAAATGTACTCCATTCCTACGCTCCTGACAAGATAGAGGAGAAAACAAAAGCAGTTTCTCCTACTATGCTCTCACAACACAGATCACTTCTGACACCAGATGTGGAGACTGATTTGAGTAATAATAAAACTGCTCTTGCACACAGCTGGCTCTGTATGAATTCCTCCTTCTCTATTGTAATTCCCCTGTCTTGAGAAATTGGCTCTGTCTAGGCAGTGAGTGGGCAAGGTGAACCTGTTGGGCAGTTACACAGGAACCTCCATATGTTTGGCCATCTGGAAGCTCTATCAACCTGTCCTTTTTTTTTTTTAATTTTTATATTCTTTTTAAAAAATTATTTTACTTTTACTTTCTCTTCTTTTGGGATTTTACGGAAACTTCATTACATAGGCATGATTGATTAAGTCATTGGCCACTAGTGACCAGTGTAACCTCTAGTCCCCCTTTCCTCTTAGGAGGTGGGGGGCTGGGGCTGGAAAGTCTGAACAATGGGAGGAGGATAAAAATGCCAGGTGTCGCAGCACATGAAGTCACAAAAGATGTATACAGAACCAGATGTGAGATAAAGGTCAGGGAGTTTCAGGACCAAATTTGTGAATGTCGGGTTTGTTCTAATGCCGATGTTACAAACATACATGATAGCTTAAGTGAGCTCTGCAGGGCTGGACAATCTGTGAATGCCACATTTAACAAGACTGGAGAGAGGCTGGGTGCACATAACTCAAGGAGGTGCTGAGGGTTGGTCAGACCCTAAGAAATGGGTGAATGTCATGGTCAGTGCTTTAATATCAGGAATATGTGCATAGTTCAAGGAAGTGGTTGAAATCAGGCAGGCAGAAATCTGAAGGTTAATCAAGAGAGGCAGTAGGTCGAAGGTCAGATAACAGTCAGGAGCCAGGGACTTTCCAGGAACTAAAGGGCAAGGCCAGATGAGGCAAGGCAGTAAGTCAGCAGGAAGGTGAGTGAACAGCTAGCAGACTGGACACACAACAGAGGTGAGAACCAGACAAGGGGACTGGGCAACGCCCAGCTGAACGCTAAATTAACTCTTAGTCATCCCAGCCAGGAAGCCTCTGCTGACATTTCTTACTAGAGCAGAAGCTAACTATTGTGGCAGTGGGGTTTCACGGGAGACAGCAAAAAGATGAAGTGCTTGTGCTTGAGTCAAAGGGGCAGCTGGAAGGGCGGATGCTGATCACAGCCCATCCACCAAGGAGCCTTCTGTCTCCTGGCATGCGCAGTTTGTTTCTCTAAGGGGGATCCTAGGGCTGAGTTTGGTTTTGTTCCTGGGTGCCACTGATGGCTCCAAGGAATGTCTCCCTCTCCTTGAGAGGTGTCAAGAATCTTCATCTGGGGAAATAGTGCCCCAGGCTGATTTGGTTTGAAAAAGAATATGGACAGAGTCTTGGATTACTCATTTACTAAGTTTTTATTTTGAAAAATTTCAAACCTACAGAAAAGCTTCAAGAATGGTAGAACAAACTTCTATAGAACCGTCAACAGATACTTAACCAAAAATATGTCCTATTTGTCCAAACCTCTTGCCAGATTGTAATATCAGAGGAACTGGAGAATCCCGAAATCTAGGACTCATGGAAATCGTTAATGGCACATTCTGAGAAACAGAAGCTTTTGCTGGGTTCAGGGGATAGAATAGGAGCTGCTTCTTTTTTTTTTTTTTCTCCTCACTCTGTCGCCCAGGATGGAGTGCAGTGGCATGATCTCGGCTCACTGCAACCTCCGCCCTCCGAGTTCAAGCAATTCTCTTGCCTCAGCCTCCTGAGTAGCTGGGATTACAGGCTCCTGCCACCACGCCTGGCTAATTTTTTGTATTTTTAGTAGAGATGGGGTTTCACCATCTTGGCCAGGCTGGTCTTGAACTCCTGACCTTGTGATCCACCCACCTCAGCCTCCCAAAGTGCTGGCATTACAGGCATGATCCACTGTGCCCGGCCAGGAGCTACTTCTTATATTGCAGGATGTAGGTTTCCAGGTTGCTGGGGGCCCAGGAAGGGCTTCAGGGAAACAGGTGCATGTGTTTCCTGAGGCTTTAGGAGATGGAATGGACAGGTGTTCTCAAGTTCATGATATAGAAGGAGTAGACTTTACAGACACCCAGGGGTCAGGGGCCCCAGAAGGGATGAGTCTTTTTCTTTTCTTTTCTTTTCTTTTTTTTGAAACAGAATCTCGCTCTGTCGCCCAGGCTGGAGTGCAGTGGTGCAATCTCGGCTCACTGCAGCCTCTGCCTCCCAGGTTCCAGCGAATCTCCTGGCTCAGCCTCCCGAGTAGCTGGGATTACAGGCACACGCCACCACGCCCAGCTAATTATTGTATTTTTAGTAGAGATGAGATTTCACCATGTTGGCCAGGATGGTCTCAAACACCTGACCTCAGGTGATCCACCTGCCACGGCCTCTCGAAGTGCTGGGATTACAGGCATGAGCCATTGTGCCCGGCTGGGATGAGTCTTTTCAACCAAAAGGGGTGATTTTCGGAGATCAGATACACATCTAGTAAGGGAGAATGCAGTTGATTGTAGGAATGTAGGTCCTCAATCTTCCTAGCAATGTTCCTTTAATGACTTTCAGAAGCCTCCAAACCCACAGTTCCTCCTTTGCAGCAGATGACTTTGTGTCCTACTTCATAGAGAAAATAAACACTATTAAAGAGACACTATTAGAGCACTCTAAACAAAACTGCATTTACAGGCAGCTAAAATGGGAGAAGTATGCCTGTTCCTTTGTAAAGCTCTAGTTCCATCCCGTCAACCTCACTGGGGAGACTGCTCCACACAGGATCCATTTCTCCTCCTGTATCTTTCTTTCTTTCTTTCTTTCTTCTTTTTGAGACAGGGTCTCACTCCTAACACCCAGACGGGAGCGCATTGGTGCACTCTTGGCTTACTGCAGCCTGGATCTTCTGGGCTCAAGAGATCCTCCCATCTCAGCTTCCTGAGTAGCTGGGCTACAGGTGCCCACAACCATGCCCGGCTAATTTTTGCATTTTTACTAGAGAGGGTTTCACCGTGTTGCCCAGGTTGTTCTCAAACTCCTGAGCTCAAGTGATCTGCCCGCCTTGGCCTACCAAAGTGCTGGGATTACAGGTGTGAGCCAGTGTGCCCTGCTTCCTTCTGTATCTTTCATCTCTACCTCTTCACCTTATTGACTTGAGCGATTAAATATGCTAATTTCTTCCATCCTAAAAATCTTTTTCCCATCGTACCCACTGCAGGTAGAGGTTTCAACAACAGCAAAAACCTTAGACATCTGCATTCTCAGAGATCCCAAAAGTCTACATCTAGGAACTTATTGTAAGGAAATCAGCATTGTAGATACTTTAAAGATCTGAAATACAATGATGTTCTTTGGTGATATGGTTTGGCTCTGTCCCCACCAAAATCTCATCTTGAATTGTAGTTCCCATAATCCCCACGTGTTGTGGGAGGGACTAGGTGGAGACAACTGAATCATGAGATCGGCTTCCCCGATCCTGCTCTCCTGATAGTGAGTTCTGACGATATCTGAGGTTTTATAAGGGGTTTTCCCCCCTTTTGCTCGGCACTTCTCCTTCCTGCCACCATGTGAAGAAGGACGTGTTTGTTTCCCCTTCCACCGTGATTGTAAGTTTCCTGACGCCTTCCCAGCCCTGCTGAGCTGTGAGTCAATTAAACCTCTTTCCTTTATAAATTACTCAGTCTTGAGTATGTCTTTATAAGCAGTGTGAGAATGGACTAACACAATTGGAAAGAACACAAATGTCCAGTGAATGTGGATTGGCTACATAATGGTGCACCCATACAGCAGAATACAATGCAGCCACTAAATAATATGTTTCAAAGGAATGGCATGGAAGTAAACTGACATCTTGTTAAGTGAAAAGCTAGTTATAAAACAGTTTGCAGTAGGTCAGGCATTGTGGCTCACATCTGTAATCCCAGCACTTTGGGAGGCCAAGGCGGGCGGATCATCTGAGGTTGGGAGTTTGAGACCAGCCTGGCCAACATGGCGAAACCCTGTCTCTACTAAAAACACAAAACTTAGCTGGGCGTGCTGGTGTGCGCCTGTAATCCCAGCTACCCTGGAGGCTGAGGCAGAAGAATCACTTGAGCCTGGGAGGCGGAGGTTGTAGTGAGCTGAGATAGAGCCATTGCACTCCAGCAGGGCGACAGAGCGAGACTCTGTCTCAAAAACTACTATCACAACAAAAACCAGTTTGACTCCATTTTCTAGGACATAAGGACATGCATAAAAAATAGTTTACTAATTTAGGGTTGGTGAGTGTGGTTAGAATTTTTAAAAAATTTTTCTATTTGGTTGTTTGAGCCCTACCCACTGTAGTAGCAGGAAACCCAGCCTTTCACTACTGTGGTCCCTGGTATCCTTCCCTTCTTCCTCCCTCCTCCCTTCTTTTTCCTTTCTCTCCTTCCATGGATTGACCAAGAGCCTTGAGCTTGCCTGGGTTCAAGTCCCACATTCTAGCTGTGTGTGACCCTAAGCTCGTTTTTGGGCTCCTCATCTGTAAAATAGGACCTCTCTTTTAGGACTGTTGTCCTAGAAGATTAATGAAATGATACATGTAAGAACTTAAGACAGTGCCTGCAACACAGCTATCTCTGGAAGTTGTTGTTATTATTATTACATAATGTTTTCACAGTTGATAATGGTTTGGCTCTCTGTCCCCACCCAAATCTCACCTCTAATTGTAATCCCCACATGTTGAGGGAGGGATCTGTAATTCCCATGTGCTGAGGGAGGGATCTGTAATTCCCATGTGCTGAGGGAGGGATCTGTAATTCCCGTGTGCTGAGGGAGGGATCTGTAATTCCCGTGTGCTGAGGGAGGGATCTGTAATTCCCGTGTGCTGCGGGAGGGATCTGTAATTCCCGTGTGCTGAGGGAGGGATCTGTAATTCCCGTGTGTTGAGGGAGGGATCTGTAATTCCCGTGTGTTGAGGGAGGGATCTGTAATTCCCGTGTGTTGAGGGAGGGATCTGTAATTCCCGTGTGTTGAGGGAGGGTGGAGATTGGATCATGGGGGCGATTCCCCCATGCTGTTCTCATGATAGTGAGTTCTCATGACCGCTGACAGTTTTAAAGTGTGGCACTTCCTCGTTTTTGCATGCCCTCTCTCTCCTGTCGCCTTGTGAAGAAGGTCCCTGCTTCCCCTTCCGCCACGACTGTAAGCTTCCTGAGGCCTCCCCAGCCATGCGGAACTGTGAGAGTCAATTAAACCTCTTTCCTTTATAAATTACCCAGTCTTGGGGATTTCTTTGTAGCAGTGTGAGAACAGACTAATACAATTGTTATCAGTTGAATTGTCTCCCCAAAATTCATATACTGAAGTCCTGACCCCTAGAACCTCAGAATGCAACTGTATTTGGAGATAGGGCCTTTAAAAAGGTAATTAAGTTAACATGAGGTCATTTGAGTAGACCCTAATCCAGTGTGACTGGTGTCTTCATATGAAGAAGAGATTAGGACACAGACATGCACAGAGGGACGACCATGTGAGGACGCAGGGAGAATGGCCTTATACAAGTCAAAGAGCCTCAGAAGGCTCTGCCCATGCCCTGGTCTCTGATTTCTATCCTTCAGAACTGTGAGGATATGTGCCTCTGTTGGTTAAGCCCGTCCCCCAACCCCGCTCTGTGGTACCTTGCTAGGGAACCCTTGCTGACAAACACAATATTATCACAGAGTAAAGAAGCGGCCAAACTGCATTTCAAACTGGTAGGATTTCCCCTCCTGCACACTCAATATGGTGGTTTCCAAATGATTTGAGGTCAGGAGTTCGAGACCAGCCTGGCCAACATAGTGAAACCCCATCTCCACTAAAAATACAAAAATTAGCTGGACGTGGTGGCAGGCACCTGTAATCTCAGCTACTCGGGAGGCTGAGGCAGGAGAATCGCTTGAACCCGGGAGGCAGAGGTTGCAGGGAGCCGAGATCGCACCATTGCACTCCAGCCTGGGCGACAAGAGTGAAACTCCATCTAGAAAAAACCCCAGAAAACATAAAAGAATTGAGAAGAATGAAATCCACACAATGAGATAAGTTTCATCGCGAGTTTTACTGAATGCATGTTTTACTTAGACATACCAGATATTACAAATAATATCATAAATGACAGTGTGTTTCAGTTGTAAACTCTAGAGTCTCATCATCGGGAGCACACAGCAGACAATGGTCAGGGAAACATCTCTATCCAGGTCCTCTGGGGATCTTCGTCTCCCTTTAGAACCTGGTGGCTTGTCACTCCGTGGTCCTCTCCTGGGCCCCACACCAGTGCACAAATGCCACACAGATTCCTGCAGGTACACGTGGAACTTGGGCTCATGATCAAAGAGAATTCTCAGCCTGTCTGCTGGTGTTCAAAGTTCAGACTTCAGATTACCAAGTTTTCATCAACTGTTATTTCCAGAACTTCAGCTATTTCTCTTTTTTCTTGCAAGAAGAGATTTCACAATCTACACAAATTTAGAGATGTGACTCTTAGATTCTGCAAAATTCTTAACTGCTGTCAGTTCTGGAAATCCTTGTGGCCTCAACAGAATTCTGGAGCTTTCTTACTTCATGCCCACGTACCTACATGTGGATTACGAAGACTTCTGTTATCTCAGGATGATTTACCTTTTCCCTAGAACATCAATAGCACAGTTTAAAACACTGTCTCAGCCTGGCATGGTGGCTCATGCCTGTAATCCCAGCACTTTGAGAGGCCAAGGTGGGTGGATCGCTTGAGCCCAGGAGTTTGAGACCAGCCTGGGCAGCATGGCAAAACCCCTTCTCTACCAAAAATATAAAAATTAGCCAGTCTTATAACCTGGTCTCAAAATAAGTAAATAGATAAAAATTTTAAAAAGTATTAAAAAAAATCGCTATCTCTACCAGCTCCCACCAGTTCCTAACAAAATCAATTTCACTTACTTCATCTTCCTATTTATTAATGCTCAACCTATTTGCTTAGAACTTTAGCATTTTCCATGCAACTTTTCATTTATGTCAAAGATTTAAAGTGATACAGGCAACAATAATTTTAGAGAAATCTCATTGCTTTATTACTACTAACAGTATTTAAAATTTTTAGGCTGAAGTTTAAAAATCCTTACTATTGATGGATTACTTTTTAAGTTAGGAGTTCCTTTATAGATACTGTGGTTTGAGGCACCAATTTCATGGAACTTTATGTGCTGAGTGGTTGTACGGGCTCACGTAGGACCGAAGCCATAGCTTCCTGTAGAGACTCCATCTGCAAGTACAATGCCAGCTCCGAAATGGCATTTGCACGAAGAATTCCCATACAGGATCCCCTTTAGTGAGCTCTTATTTTGTTAAAGTTGCCTTATGTTCTCTTAATAACATTAGTTATCATTAATACAAGGGAGAAGGTGCTTTCAGAGCATCTTGGTAAGGGGCACTTTCTTTTATCTTAACATAAATCAAGTTGGCAAAAAAGCATGGGATCAGATCAGTTTCATGCTGGACATTCAGAGAATATGAAACATCCAGGCATGCAAGAATGCAACAATCCCTCCAATCTTCATTTTCATGGAAGTTTCAGAGCATCCCGTGGGTTTCCTTAAACTTGGAGGTGCTAAGACACTTCGGAGCTTACGTTTAGGTATGAACTTGTCACTGTCCTCCCAGGCTTGTAAGAGAGAGTTAGCAGATCTAGGTAACTGGAAGACAAGGTGCCGACAACTGGATCTGAGGACAAGCCCATCCTGGTGCCTGGCCTGATTCTGACTGCTCTCTGGGCATCCGTGGGACCTTGAGAAAGAAAATGCCACGGGGCACCAGATTTGGTGGGAGCTGATACAGGAGCAATAAATTCCATCCCCCGGTTCATGTTTTGGTGTGGGTTTGGCTTCTGGAAAAAACAAACAAACAAACAAATTGGGTTAAAGGGTGGAAAGATGGTGATCAGTAAGCTACTAATTTGTTCTCACATTTCTTTTGAGGCTACTAAGTAGCTGTCAGACACATGAAATAGCCTAAAGATTATAGACAAAGATATTCTGGAAATTTTGGCAACATTTGCTTTTAGAATTAGTTGGTTCCAAAATTTTAAAACACACCATTTTAATTTTTATTAGCTTTATCATTCACAGGTAATACACCAATTCAAGGTTTACAGTGGTTATCAGTATATTCAAGGAAATGTGCAACCGTCACCACTGTCAATTTTAGAACTTTTTCATCATCCCCCAAAGAAATCCTGTACCCATTAGCGGTCACTCCCCATTTCTCCCTAAGTCTCCCCAGGCAACCACTAATCTACGTTCTACCTCTATGGATTTGCCAATCTGGACATTTCACATAAATAGAATCAAACATGTAGTATTTTGTAACTGAATTCTTTCACTTAGCGTGATGTTTTCAAGGTCCGACTATGTTGTAGCATGAATCGGAACTTCATTCCTTTTAATTGCCCAGTAATAGTTTATTATATAGGTAGACCACGAATTATTTATCCATTCATCATTTGGTGGACATTTGGGTTGTTTCCATTTTTTGAGTATTATGAATAATGCTGCTATGCACGTTATTTGTGTACAGAGCTTTTGTGTGGACACATATTTTCACTTTCTTGAGTATATACCTAGAAGTAGAATTGCTGGGTCATTATGTTAAGTGAAATCAATCAGGCACAGAAAGATAAATACCACATGTTCCCTTTATATGTGGAAGCTAAAAAGAAAACTTGAGCCCATGGAAATAGAGAGTGGAACAGTGAGTCTTAGGGTCTGGGAAGAGTGGTGAGGAGGAGACTCCAGGGAGAGGCTGGTTAATGGATACGAAATGACAGCTAGATAGAAGAAATGAGTTCTGCTGTTCTGTAGCACAGTAGGGTGAAGATGGTTAACTGTAATTTATTCTATATTCTCAAAAAACTAGAAGAGAGGGTTTTGAATGTTTATGGCACAAGAAAATGATAAATATTTTAGGTGATGATATACTGATTACCCTGATTTGATCATTACACATTGTATACATGTATGGAAATATCATTCTGTATCACATAAATATTATGTGCCAACTAAAAATAAAAGGGAAAAGATCTAGTATGTGTTTAATATTTTGAGGAAGTGTCAAAGTGGCTGGCACCATCCTGTATTCCCACTGGCAATGCATGAGGGTGTCAATTTCTCCACATCCTCACCAGCCAGCACGTGTTATTACTTGCCTTTTTAGTTATAGCCATCCTAGTGGGGATGAAGTGGTTTTAATTCTGGCTTTGATTTGCATATCTCAAATGGCTAATGATGTTGAGTATCTCTTCATGTACACATTGGCTATTTGTAATCTTTTCTGGAGACATATCTGTTCATATTCTTTGCCCATTAAAAACATTGGGTTATTTATTGAGTTGTAAGAATTCTATATTTTGGATATAAGTCCCTCATCAGATATGATTTGCAAATATTTTCTCCCATTCTGCAGGTTGCTTTACACTTTGTCGATAATACATTTTATAGCATAAAAGATTTTAATTTTGATGAAGTCCAATTTCTCTATTTTTTCTTTTGTCATTTGTATAGTTCCAACATTTTGAAAGAAATATCTAGCTCTTCAAGGTAGAGATGAAAGAGTTTCAACTTATAGATCTGATGGGAAGTTCATTATTAATGCCACACTTAGAAGATGAGGAAATAAGATACTTAGAACCAAGAAATAAGAAAACAGCAATGGAAATTAAAAAAAAAATCACTGGCTAACTTCAGTTGACTACAAAGATCTCTGTCAGTCATGGTCCAGGCCAGAAGCAGGTGGAATATTCAGAAGGTCTGACTGGGGAGAATTTAATCAAGCGCCTTTTCTATAGAGGCACTGATAGTGCAAGGAAACCAGGCATTATAATGAAGCCCCCAGGGCTGGCAATGCTGCAAGGTTGCTATTCCAGTGTGGTGGACAGGGAGGGAGCAGGTACTGAAAGCTAGTGAAATGGGAGCGTTCCCTGATTCCCCCTGCAGCACATGCAACACAGGTGTGGCTCACCTGCTTGGTTGCCCTGCAGCTCAAACCCCTAGGGGGAGCATGCAGACTGGCAGGTGCAGATGCCGGGATGAATGCTTTGGGCTCTTGGCCCCGCAGCAATGTCTAGGGGTGGGTGTCTGCAACTCCCAAAGCCCAGGTGGGCACGTGTAACCCAAGCTCTTTCAGATTTGCCATCTGCAGATGGCTTGTGTGCTAATCAGCTCAATGGACCCTCTGCCTTATTGCAAGGGCAGAGGGCCAGTGTGACAGCCTCTGTTCCCTGAGCTCTGGCCCAGTGTCCCAGAAGAATCGGATCACACATGGGCTCGAAGGATAAGTGCAAGTTTTTATTGAGTGATGGAGGCGGCACTCAGCAACATGGATGGGGAGCCGGAAGTTGAAGGGGTGGGGGAAATAATCTTTCCCTGGAGTTGGGCTGCCCAGCAGCCGGACCCTTCTCCAACCACCCCTGGCCGACCTTCCCTCGGCATCAAGACGTCCCTCTTTTTCTTCTCTGCTGCATCGTTCTGCTGTCACTGGTCTGCTGGTCTCGACATTCAGCTGCTTGTGTGTGTACCCACTAAGGTCTTGGGTTTATATGGGTACAGGATGGGGGGCTTGGTTGGCCAGGGTGGTCTTGGAAAATGCAACATTCAGTCATGAAAACAGGAGTGCCTGTTCCCACTTAGATCTGTGGCACAGGCTTGAGGGTGGAGCCCTCACCAGGGACCTGGCCCTTCTCTACCCAGCACTTCCCTGCCCAACTCCCATGTCACTAGTTATGGGGAAGGGCTGTTTGGGGAAAGCCATAGCTTTTGCTAGAGGAATATGGCTACTGCCCACCTACAGTCTGGCAAGGAGCACGCTGGAGGAATCATACCTCCAACTCTCTTTCCTCTCACTCTGTCATCTCCTGCCCATACCATCTTAGTCGAACCCAATTCACACCAGGAACAAGGTGGCCTAGTTGATACAGTCCATAAGGCCAGCCTCTGGGGCCACAGAACAAGAAGGTGGAGAAGAATGAGGGGTGGATTGTGGAGCAGAAGGAGAACATCCAGTGAAGTCACTAGGTGGTGAGTCAGACACTTTGTCCTTTTGGTGGGGGAGCAATTTACACTGAAGATAATGCTCTCATCTTGTTTTTTAACTAGCCCTGCCCCATTGCTGTCCCTTTACCCAGGAATGCTTGTCCCCCATACTATGTAAAATTTGATCTCTCACAAGGCTCAGCTCAGAAGCCACCTTCTTCTTGCTGCCATTCCTCATAATTTGCTCAGAAGTGATCTCCCTCCTCGGAAGTTGTATTAGGGTTCCCCAGAGCGACAGAACTAATAGGATATATATACACACATAAAATATTATATGAAGGGGAGTTTATTAAGTAATAACTCACATGCTCACAAGGCTCCACAATAGGCTGTCTGGAAGCTGAGGAGAAAGGACAGCCAGTCCGAGTCCCAAAACTGAAGAACTCGGAGTCTGATGTTCAAGGGCAGGAAGCATCGAGCACGGGAGAAAGAGGTAGGCTGGGAAGCTAGGCCAGTCTAGTCTTTTCACATTTTTCTGCCTGCTCTATATTCTAGCTGTGCTGGCAGCTGATTAGATGGTGCCCACCCATATTAAGGGTGGTCTGCCTTTCCCAGCCCACTGACTCAAAAGTTAATCTCCTTTGGCAACACCCTGACAGACACACCCAGGATCAATACTTTGCATCCTTCAATCCAATCAAGTCGACAGAATTAACCATCACAGAAGTCTTACTTGTGGATCAAACTTCCCACAAAGTGATTCTACCTTTTCTTGTTGTTTACAGATACCTCATATGACTCTCACTGTGCAATAAAGTCCAGATGGAACCATTTTTATTTATCTTTGTGCCTCTTGCAGAACCTGCACAGTTTGCTGATGTTACACAGTGCCTCAGCTCAGAATGGATTTGGGATCAGGCATTATTGAGTCTTCTTGGAATCTGCTAGTTGGAAGGGTCCTCAGATGTACTTCCGTTTTTAACTTAGCCATTTCAAGCTCCTACTCAGCGAAGACTCCCCCTCCAGGTGGGGGACACTGTTGGTAGCCCACTCAGCATTTCTCCTTCTTCCTGTAACAGAGGCCTGACTTTTTCCAACCCTCCACCCTCCACTAAGCGGCCAAGTATCAGAGGGAAAGCTTATCCTGGGCTGAAATAATTTAAGGATAATATGTTCCCTTTTGTCAAGAATTGGTTTAGAAATGGAAATGTGACCAAGTTGTGGCTGCAGAGCCTCGGGGAGAGATTTGCTTGTGATTTCCAAGGAAGTCCTTCCTCCCTCCTTAGAGAGAAAGTCCAGTTGTTATTGGCAGCCACTTTACACCTAGGAGGACAGCCAACTTCAAGATGAAGATGTCAGTATAGATTGTGGGCTGGGATTTGAAAATCTGAGCTGTTGCTAACATCACTGAGGGTAACCTAAAGTCTGCTTTATCTCTGAAATTCTCTTTTTATGAATAAGTATATTTCCTTTTTGAAAAGACCTTTGAGTTGGGGTTTCTGTTACTCTGTATGTGAAAGGAGGCCCATATGCCCTGCCATTGTTTTCCTCTTCAACTCTGCTGATATAAGAGCCAAAATATAATTGAAGAGCTCTATGAATGTTTAGACTAGCTCTGTGCCCAGGAATGTAAGAATGGTTTGTAACAGAGACCCTGTCAAGCCTGAAACATGATATCTCATTTTACTAGTAGCTAGTACTCAGGGGGATGGGAGTTAGTACTGTATTTATTCCAGAATCTTGTTGATGTGCTACCTCTTCTCCATTACATTGGGCCTGATTTTTTTTTTTTTTTTTTTCAAAATAACGTCTTTGCAACGTGAAAGGTATTTTCTATTTCACACACATGAAAACCCCTTTGCTTCCTCAAGGTAAGAATGAACCTTAAGCTCTTATCCCAGGTAGATCAGCAACAATATTTGCCAAAGCAAAGCCATGTTTCCAAAAGAGGCCTTTCCACCCAGCATTCTTAGCAGGACCTGATGCTTCACACTAGGGAGGCAATAGGACTGTTTTTACAGCAAATGGACAAGCCACATTCACAGTGAGATTTGTTTTGCCTTTCCTTGCAATTTATTTATTTCCTGAGACAGAGTCTTGCTCTGTCGCCCAGACTGGAGTGCAGAGGTGTGACCGTGGCTCACTGCAACCTCCGCCTCCCAGGTTCAAGCGATTCTCCTGCCCTCAGCCTCCCCGAGTAGCTGGGACTACAGGCATGCGCCACCACGCCTGGCTTATTATTGCATTTTTAGTAGAGACGGGGTTTCTCCATGTTGGCCAGGATGGTCTCGATCTCCTGACCTCAGGTGTCTGCCTGCCTTGGCCTCCCAAAGTGCTGGGATTACAGGCATGAGCCACTGAGCCACGGCAATTTAGATGGGAAGTCAAACCAGCTCTTAAGTCCATGTCGAGTGATTATTGGAGTCACTTTGGCAGGCAAGGGGAGGGGACTTATTATTATTATTATTATTTCGAGATGCAGTCTCACTCTGTCGCCCAGGCTGGAGTGCAGTGGCCTGATCTCGGCTCACTGCAACCTCCGCCTCCTGGGTTCAAGCGATTCTCCTGCCTCAGCTTCCCAAGTAGCTGGGACTACAGGCGCGCACCACCATGCCCAGCTAATATTTTTGTATTTTTAGTGGAGACGGGGTTTCACCATGTTGGCCAGGATGGTCTTGACATCTTGACCTCGTGATCCGCCTGCGTCAGCCTCCCAAAAGTGCTGGGAATACAGGCGTAAGCCACAGCACCCAGCCTGGGGCTCATTATTGACAGAATTTCTGGTTACCTAATTAGCAATTTCCAAGCACTTGTCTTTCTGGGTAGAAAGATCTCATTTTCCTTCATCTATTTTTTTAAGCAGGAATGGACAAAGCCTTTAATTGGCGTTTGAGAGGGAGTGAGGTAATACGCTGGAAGTAAAGGCAGAGATTGAAGGCCATTTTATCGGGCACCTGTGGCTGAAGAATTGAAAAAAATCATCAATTAGGAAAGGGAGAAAACTAGGGGTTTGGAGCCAGGAAAGAAGGAAGAAAAATGTATTAAGAGGAAGAAAGAATATAGGAATACAAAAGAGTATAAGTGTCAGGCTCGCCTGGGTACGATTAAAGAAACATATTTAAACCCGATACGCTTTCTTGTGGTAACAGACAAAAAATACGTTTGTTGGTGATTCCTAAGTGAAAATATCCTGCAGGACTTTTTTTTAAGGTTGGTCAAAAAACTCAAAGAAAAATATTTTTTGAGTCATATTTTCTAAAGGCTGTGGTCTTCTGATCAGTCAGATAGGAAGCATTTATTGCCTAAAATCAAGCAGGAAGGATCTGTTCTTTTTCTGAAGTCCTGTAGTGGCATAAAACTGACCTCCTAAGAAATTCTTCCTTGTCTCTTTTTAATCAATAAATCTACATTCTAGGGAAATTGACCATTGCTTCCAGACATGTGTGGGAGTCCAGAACATGCCACTCCAAAAGGAGGATTGTCGAGCTGAAGACAATTAAGAAGAAACAGATGCAGGAAAGCTCTCTGCCCTCCATTTGCTTAAATGCAGGACAGAGATTTACAAGATAAAAGACATCCTGCCCCTGTCTTTTACCAGGGAGAACAAAGGTTAACCACTGAAGACAGTTTTAGACCATTATCTGCCAGGAGTAGGAGCCAGAGGAATCTACCTGAACATGCTTTACCAACTCGCTTTTATCTGCCGGTTACTTGCTTCCCCGCAGAGAAGTCCCCTCTAGAGACCCAAAGTCCTTTTCCTTTGTCCTGTCACTTCTCTAAAAATCACTATTCTTTGTTGAAGATGCTATACAAGCTGGAATTCAAAGCTATTTCTTTGAGAACTACTCCTTCCCTGGGTGTCTGCCATGAGAACTACTCCTTTCCTGGGTGTCTGCCATGTAGATGTGAAATATACATGTAAATAAACTTGTTTTTCTCGTGTGTGTGTGTGTGTGTGTGTGTGTGTGTATTTTTTTTTTAAATGGGGTCTATTCCAACTAAGAACCTTATGAGGTGGCCAGACGCGGTGGCTCACGCCTGTCATCCCAGCACTTTGGGAGGCCAACGTGGGTGGATCACCTGAGGTCAAGAGTTCGAGACCAGCCTGGCCAACGTGACGAAATCCCGTCTCTACTAAAAATACAAAAATTAGCTGGGCATGGTGGTGGGTGCCTGTAATCCCAGCTTCCTGGGAGGCTGAGGCAGGAGAATCACTTGAACCTGGGAGGTGGAGGTTGCAGTGATGCAGTGAGCTGAGATCACGCCACTATACTCCAGCCTGGGCAACAGAGCAAGACTCCGTTTTTGTTTGTTTGTTTTTAAAAGACCTATGAGGATTGAGGAAACAATGATTTTTCTTCCCCTACACATGATTTTGTGTCTGCTGCATATTTTTTTTTGTTTGTAATATCAATGTTTCTCAAAGTGGTCTGTGGGCTACCAACTTCAGCATCACCTGGGATGCTTGTTAAAAAGTATATGTTGTAGGTTCCACACCCGCTGCAATGACCCAGCATCTCCAGAGGTGAGGTATTTTTGACAGTATCCCAGATTTTGATAAATTCTAATGTTGAGAAACAGTGGTCTAGATTTTAAGACAAGATCCATGTCATTTATTTTTGTTCCCTTCTGATGCCTAGCACATAGAAGGTACTTGATAAATATTTTTTGGAGAGATGAATCTAAGAAAAGTGTAACTGTCTAAAAACTTGCCTCCGAATTTCTTTACTGTCCTGTCCCTACCTATCTGCAGAGCGAGCCTTATCTGTCTGTTCATAATCTTCTGCATGTTGGGATTTGTGGTGGTGATGGTGGGTGCAGCAATGTGAAAGGCATTAGGAGCTTGTCTTGCCCAGATGATTCCTGCAGGATGAACATGGCTGGGCTTCCATCTGTTTAAGCCTCGTTCTCAGGCCATTCTGTTTATCCTATAAACCACCCAGGATCATTTCAAGAAGTTAGTTTTCTATTTAAGTTCACCAGTGTAGTCAGGGTCTGGCCAAGAGATAGTATACACACAAGTTAGCTGAACAGTAAGAATTTAATATAAAAAGTGTTAACTAGGTAAAAATGTGTTCATTATAAAGTTGTAACAGGATAAAAAGAGAACTCTAAGGTCTCATAGAGGTAGCAACTGCAGCGTCCACTCCCAGGGTTAAAGAAACAATAAGAAAGGGAACAAGTAGGAACTTAGAGGTGGGGCACCTGGAGCTAAAACTCAGACCTTCAAGGTGGGGGCTCTGCACTGGTTCTGGTGAATATGAGATGGGCCGTATGAGGTCAGGTCTGCAAGTGCTAGAAAAACTGCAAACTGCAAACCACATTCAAAAGCTTCTGCAGAAAGGAAGTGCTGCTGCCGGGGTGAAGAAGCATTGCTAGGATGATACTCACAGGAGCAGTGAGCAGACAGGAGGAAACTCATCCTTTCCTCCTCCTCTAGCCTTGCAGTCTCCCTTTTGCTCCCCTTCTTGCCAAAGGCCAATCTGGGTCCAGCTGGCAAAGCAAAATGCAGTTGTAGTTGCCCTGACATCACAAAGCTGAGCATAGAAGGGAGGAGTTGGAGCTGAGACACCAATGGCTTAATGATGGGCATAGCTGGGTAGGTCACTATTGCTCACTGTCTTGGATGCTTTTATTCCACTATTCTCCTCTGAACACCTTGTAATTTGGTCTTAATTCCTGAGATGATTTTGTCTTTTCTTGCACTTTCTTTTCTGAGCTAAATAAATTGTTTTACATCTCATTTTTGTCTTTTTCTATTAGGAGTTTTTTCTTTGTTTGTAGCTGTGACTACAGGTGTGTGCCACCATGCCTGACTAATTTTTGTATTTCTAGTAGAAATGGGGTTTCACCATGTTGGCCAGGCTGGTCTTGAACTCCTGACCTCAGGTGATCCACCCAACTTGGCATCCCGAAGAGCTGAGAGTACAGGCGTGAGCCACCGTGTTCAGCCTCTATTAGGAGTTTTTTTATTCATGTTTTTTTGTATGTGTGTATATACATTGCTGCTAGTTTAATTATATTTAATTCATGTTGAAGCATGTGCTATATAGTTTTTCTCTGCCTTTTTTTGGAAATATTTTTATTGGTGGAAAAATTTGGATTCTTCCTGTTTTCTTCTTGTAGTAACTTCCTATGGAGGTTGCCTGCCTTCTTCTGTTTATTTTAAAGTGTCTTGGAATTATTTTTAAAATTTCAATAGGTTTTTGGGGAACAGGCAGTGTTTGGTTACATGAATAAGTTCTTAAGTGGTGATTTCTGAGATTCTGGTGGACCCATCACCTGAGCAGGGTACACTGTACCCAATGTGTAGTCTTTTATTCCTCATCCCCCTCCCACCCTTTCCCCTGAGTCCCCAAAGTCCACTGTATCACTATGCCTTTGCATCCTCATAGTTTAGCTCCCACTTGTAAGTGAGAACATATGATGTTTGGTTTTCCGTTCCTGAGTTACTTCACTTAGAATAATGATCCCTAGGCCGGGTGTGGTGGCTCACGCCTGTAATCCCAGCACTGTGGGAGGCCGAGGTGGGTGGATTACTTGAGGTCAGGAGTTTGAGACCAGCCTGGCCGACATGGTGAAACTCTCTCTCTACTGAAAATACAAAAATTAGCTGGGTGTGGTGGCAGGTGCCTGTAATTCCAGCTACTTGGGAGGCCAAGGCAGGAGAATTGCTTGAACCCAGGAGGCGGATGTTGCAGTGAGCTGAGATTGTGCCGCTGCACTCCAGTCTGGGCAACAGAGTGAGACTCAATCTCGAAAAAAGGAAAAAAAAAAAAAAAGAATAATGGTCCCTAATTCCATCCAGGTTGCTGCGAATGTTGTTATTTCATTCCTTTTTATGGCTGAGTAGTATTCCATGGGATACATATATCACAATTTCTTTATCAAATCATTGATGGGCTTTTGGTTTGGTTCTGTATTTTTGCAATTGGGAATTGTGCTGCTATAAATGTGTGTGTGAAAGTATCTTTTTCGTATAATGACTTCTTTTCCTCTGGGTAGATACCAGTAACTACCATCAAATGGTAGTTCTATAAAGTGTCTTGAATTTTTCTTGATCAGCCATTAACACATGTGTCTATGGAGTGAGTGAGGGATTTGAATGACTGATGAGGTTTCTTAGTTTAAGAAGGCTCTCTCCTGTTGGTACAGTGAAGTACAGGTTCTTTAACAAATGACTTATTTTCTGGTGCCTGGGAAGGTCAGTGTATTTCCAATTTTATGACTTCTTTGTTTCTGTGGGATCCATAATTTCCACTGCTTGACTTTCTCTTTTCACTTCAATAGATGCCTCCTCTTCCAAACTCTCACTCAGAAGCAGTGCTGTCCTAATGCTGCATCCCGGATCCTGCACACTCTACAGTACCTTTCTTCCTTTTGATTCTCTTTTTTTGGAGACAGAGTCTCGCTCTGTTGCCCAGGCTGGAGTGCAGTGGCATGATCTTGGCTCATTGCAGCCTCTGCCTCCCAAGTTCAAGCGATTTTCGGCCAATTTTTGTATTTTTAGTGGGGATGGGGTTTCACCATGTTGGCCAGGCTGGTCTCGAGCTCCTGGCCTCCCAAAGTGCTGGGATTACAGGCATGAGCCACCGAGTCTGGCCTCCTTTTGATTCTTTAGTAGCCAGATCAGCCTGGTCTCAGAGCTCTTCTGAGATTTCCCCCATCCTGAGCAAGACCCTTTCATTCTGGGTGTGATGTTTTATTTGTGTTCTGCCACCGCTAGGAACCTGGCTTTCCTCTCCTCATTTCTGTGTGTTCTCATCTGACTGCTTCAGTGTGGGCTCTGGGGCTGGGTCTGCTGATTTTGTATCTTTATTTCCTTCCTTGCATGTAAATGGACATTTGTAGCGTTCTCTTTGTGATGATGTTGACAGGCTTTTTGGGATGGTTTCATTTGCTTTTCTTGTTGATCTTTATGCCTTTTGGAGAATAAATGGAGAATTTCAGACTTAAGAAGTAGCCATTATCCTGTAGGAATCTGGAAAGGATGACTCTTTTAAAAATATATTACTTTTCTAACTGGCTGGTAGATAGACATGTAATTGAGTTCACATACTTATTTTGTATCCAACAGCTTCGATAAATGTTAAAATTAATACAACAGTTTATCTTTAGATTATTTTTGGAATTTTTAGGCAGACAATTACATCATCAGTGGATAAAGGCAGTTTTGTTTTTTCTTTTCCAATTCCTATGACTTTTGTTTCTTTTTCTTGCCTTACTGCCCTGGCCAGGATTTTTGGTACAATTGTGAATAGAAGTGTTGATAGCAGGAATCCTTGACTTTTATTTTTTATTTTTTGAGATGAAGTCTTGCTCTGTTGCCTAGGCTGAAGTGCAGTGGCACAATCTTGGCTCATTGTAACCTCCACCTCCTGGGTTCAAGCAATTCTCATGTCTCAGCCTCCCCGAGTAGCTGGGATTACAGAGATGCACCACCACGCCTGGCTAGTTTTTGTATTTTTAGTAGAGATGGGGTTTCACTATGTTGGCTAGGCTGGTCTTGAACTCCGGACATCAAGTGATCCACCTGCGTTGGCCTCCCGAAGTGGCTGGGTTTACAGGTCTGAGCCACCGTGACCCACCCTTAACTTATTATTATCAATCTTAGAGATAATGCCTTCAACATTTTGGTATTAAATATAATGGTTGCTGTAGATGCCCTTTATCTTATTTTCACATTAAAAAAATAATTTAATGGTGAATTAATACTAATTTTATGAAGCTTTTTCTATAAAAACTGAGAAAAATCATATAATTTTAATCTCAATTAGATAAACTGACAAAGAGAGATTCATATAGATTTTCCAATGCTAAACCACTCTAGCATTCTAGAGATAAACTCAGTTTGGGCCGGGTGCTGTGGCTCACGCCTGTAATCCCAGTACTTTGGCAGGCTGAGGGAGGAGGATCGCTTGAGGCCAGGAGTTTGAGACCAGTTTGGGTACCATAGTGAGACCCTGTCTCTACAAAAAATAAAAAAAATCAGCTGGGCATGGGAGCATGTGCCTGAAGTCGTAGCTACTCAGGAGGCTGAGGTGGGAGGATTACTTGAGCCCAGGAGTTCGAGACTCTAGTGAGTTATGATTCCAACACTGTATTCTAGCCTGAGCAACAGAGCAAGACCGTGTTTCTAAAACAAAACAAAACAAAAACCCCACAAAACAAACAAACAAACAAAAAATATGTTCTCTAACCATATTGCAATAAAATTAAAAACTAATAACAAATAACAAGTGGGTTGCTTAAAAAGGCCCATCCGAGGTGGCTCATGCCTATAATCCCAGCACTTTGGGAGACCAAGGCAGGCAGATTGCTTGAGTCCAGGAGTTCAAGACCAGCATGAGCAACATGGTGAGACCCTGTTTCTACGAAAAATGCAAAAATTTAGACAGGTGTGGTGGTACATGCCTGAAGTCCTAGCTACTTGGGAGGCTGAGGTGGGAGGATGGCTTGAGCCCAGGAGGTGGAGGCTGCGGTGAGCCGAGATTGTGCCACTGCACTTCAGCCTGGGCAACAGAGTGAGACTCTGTCTCAAAAAATAAAAAAAATTTTAAAAGCTCACTTATTTGGAAAATAAATAACCTGCTACTAAAGAATCATAAATTTTAAAAGGATTTAAAAATCATAAAAATACAAAATATGTAGAACTAGGCAATAATGAAAACACCGTCTTTTAAAATTGGTGGGAAGCCGCCAAAACAGTATTTAGAGAAAAATTCTTCACTCAAAATAAATTAGGCAACAAGAAAGGTTAAATCAAATGAACTCAAAGAATGATCTTAAAGAAGTCAATAAGGCCGGGCGCGGTGGCTCACACCTGTAATCCCAGCACTTTGGGAGGCTGAGGTGGGCAGATCATGAGGTCAGGAGATCGAGACCATCCTGGCTAACATGGTGAAACCCCATCTCTACTAAAAATACAAAAAATCAGCTGGGTGTGGTGGCGTGTGCCTGTAGTCCCAGCTACTCAGGAGGCTGAGGCAGGAGAATTGCTTCAACCCGGGAGGTGGAGGTTGCAGTGAGCCGAGATCACGCCACTGCTCTCCAGCCTGGGTGACAGAGCGAGACTCCGTCTCAAAAAAAAAAAAAAAAAAAAAGAAGTCCATAAAATGGAGAAAGCAGAAAAATAAAGATGAATCAAGCCCAAAGCTGGTCCTTTGAAAGATTAATAAGACAGAACCCTGGCAAAATGGATAAAGAAAACACAAAATAAGATGCATATAGGCAAAATAAAGAATTGAAATGCAGAAATGAATATAGGTGCATAACAAATTTTTATCTTAATGAGTACCATGAACAACAAACATTGAAAATTTGAAAACCTCATTGACAGTAAAAAGTTCCCAGTATTGCCCTTATATCCTGGCAAGAGGGGTCCCTGCTCTGGGCTTAATTTATTTCATTTCATTTTTCATTTTTGTTTTTTGAGACTGAGTCTTGCTCTGTCACCCAGGCTGCAGTACAATAGCATGATCTCAGCTCACTGCAACCTCTGCCTCCCTGGTTCAAGTGATTCTCCTGCCTCAGCCTCCTGAGTAGCTGCGATTACAGGCACCTGCCACCATGGCTAGCTAATTTTTTTGTATTTTTAGTAGAGATGGGGTTTCACCACATTGGCCAGGCTGGTCTTGAACTCCTGATCTCAAGTGATCTGCCCACCTTGGCTTCCCAAATTGCTGGGATTACAGGCGTGAGCCACTACGCCCAGCTCTGGGCCTATTTTAGAGGCTCAACTCTGACCCTCCTCTGGTTCTTCCCATCCCCAAATGGCTAGAGGTACCCAGAGACAAGAGGCTGTGCCCATTGGAGCCTGTTTTCCTACCACAAAACTGCGGGGCATGGGCTGTGAAATCCTCTAAGCAGCTCTAAGTTCATTTCCAGGGATCGAGGAGGCTCTTTCCTACACGCAGCCTGTCCTCCCAAAGTGGCCAAGGGGTGGCTGTTTATGGGCGTGTAGATGGAGTTTGGACGCGTAAGCTGTGTGTCTGTAAACACACTCAGGAGGTCCTTGAGGTGCAGGGCAGAGCTGGAGATGGGAAGAGAGTAGTCGTGCTGCAGGTCAAGGGCCAGCTCTCCACAGCCACCCACATTCCAGGGTGGACTTTAAGAAATCTGAGAATTCTAGGCTGGGCGTGGTGGCTCACGCCTGTAATCCCAGCACTTTGGGAGGCCGAGGTGGGTGGATCACGAGGTCAGGATTTCGAGACCAGCCTGACCAACATGGTGAAACCCCATCTCTACTAAAAATACAAAAATTAGCAGGACGTGATGGTGCGCACCTGTAATTCCAGCTACTTGGGAAGCTGGAGGCAGGAGAATTGCTTGAACCCGGGAGGTGGAGGTTGCAGTGAGCTGAGACCATGCCATTGCACTCCAGCCTGGGCGATAGAGCAAGACTCCGTCTCAAAAAAAAAAAAAAAAAAAAAATCTGAGAATTGTAAATTTGAACCTGGCCTTCCAGGTTGTTATAAAAGCATTTTTGTCAAGGTAGGAGGATAGAAGATATTTAACAGTTTATTCACATGACTTCAAACTTTTTCATATTTAGACATATTGTTCAGGGGTTTCATTTGTGTTCTTGTCTCAGGCCCTATAATGTTTGAGGTAGACCCGTTTCTTAAGATTTCAGATTTGTAGGAATTAACACTACGATATTAGGTACTAAGCTGTGGGAGCAGTTTGCCGTAATTTAGAAAGTAGACCATTCTGCATCTGGCTCAATAATTTCATTCCTGGCCAGGGGCAGTGGCTCATACCTGTAATCCCAGCACTTTGGGAGGCGTAGGTGGGTGGATCACTTGAGGTCAAGAGTTTGAGACCAGCCTGGCCAACATGGTGAAACCCCATCTCTACTAAAAATACAAAAATTAGCCAGGTGTGGTGGCAAGTGCTTGTAATCCCAGCTACTTGGGAAGCTGAGGCAGGAGAATCACTTGAACCTGGGAGGCGGAGGTTGCAGTGAGCCAAGATCGTGCCATTGCACTCCAGCTTGGGCAATAAGAGTGAGACTCTGTCTTAAAATAAATAAATAAATAAAATTAAAAAAAGATAAATAATTTCATTCCTGGATATATTCTCATTCTCTCTCTCTCTCTCTCTCTCTCTCTCTCTCTCTCTCTCTCTCTCTCTCTCTATATATATATATATATATATATATATATATATATATATCCAGGAATGAAATTTTTTTTATATATATACATATATATAGGTATGTGTGTGTGTGTGTATATATATATAGAGAGAGAGAGGGAGAGAGAATATAGGTTCACTTATTTGCAGAGCGCCAGTTCTGCTATAAGAAGGAAGAACTTGCACCAGAATGTTGTAGATTAACTTTATTATGCAACATAACGTCAAGTTTAGCTGATGTTTGTTTCATAGTAAGATTTTCATGATTAAGGAAGCAGGGCATTGGTTTACCAGAAACAAACAGTTCTCAGACCATATTTTGAGTAGCACTGTCCCAGAGAAAGTTTTGCTTAAGTGCCAGAGTTGTCACGTACCAGGATGTTTCTGTTAATATTGTTTGTAATCTAATTGTTGGCAATTGTGGCAACAATCTGGGAGGAACCTAAGTGTCCATCAACAAAGAAGTAGAAAACCAGACTGTGGGATGTTTATAGAATGGCACACAAAACAGCAATGAAATTGAGGGAACTGAACATTTCAATATGGATGCGTTTCATAAGCCTCATATAAGGGGTGGGGGCAGGAGAGGAGGAAGGCAGATTGCAAAATAATCAGTGTATAATACCACTGATATAAAGCTGAAAACACGCAAAAATACAGTGTGTTGTTTAAGAATACATATGTAAGTAGAGTATAAGAAACGCAAGGGAGGCTGGGCGCCGTGGCTCACTCCTGTAATCCCAATACTTTTGGAGACCAAGGCGGGAGGATCACTAGGTCAGGAGATCGAGATCATCCTGGCTAACACAGTGAAACCCCATCTCTACTAAAAATACAAAAAATTAGCCGGGCATGGTGGCAGGCACCTGTAGTCCCAGCTACTCGGGAGGCTAAGGCAGGAGAATGGCGTGAACCTGGGAAGCGGAGCTTGCAGTAAGCTGAGATCACGCCACTGCACTCCAGCCTGGGCGACAGTGCGAGATTCCGTCTCAAAACAAAACAAAACAAAACAAAACAAAACAAAACAAAACAAATGCAGAGGAAGGGAATGATCCACAATGAATTCAGAATAATGGTTACTTTTTGGGATGGGAGATTGGGAAGGATGGGGCTAGTATGCTGGATAGTAGCATGAAGATTCTTGTTATGTTATTTGATGACTTTTGTCTAAAAAATATTTTTGGGCAGGGTACAGTGGCTCACACCTGTAATCTCAGCACTTTGGGAGGCCAAGGTGGGTGTATCACCTGAGGTCAGGAGTTTGAGACCAGCCTGGCCAATATGGTAAAACCCCATTGCTATTAAAAATACAAAAATTAGCCAGGCATGGTAGCAGGTGCCTGTAATCCCAGCTACTTGGGAGGCTGAAGCAGCAGAATTACTTGAACTCGGGAGGCATAGGTTGCAGTGAGCTGAGATTGTGCCATTGAACTGCAGCCTTGGTGACAGAGTGAAACTCCATCTCAAAAAAATAAATAAAAATAAATAAATAACATTTTAAATACATTTTGAAAATATTTTAATTATAATTTTTGGTTAAATATATATGCATATATATGTATGTATTATATATATGTGTATATATATATATGTATCCAAATGAGTTGAAAACTTAGGTCCTCACAAAATATCCACACAGATGTTGGTAAGCAGCTGTATTCATAATTGGCTCAAACTTGGAAGCATCCAAGATGTCCTCCAGTAGGTAAATGAAAAAATAAACTGTGGTACACCCAGACAATGGAATATTACTCAGCACTAAAAGGAAATGGGCTATCAAGTCATGGAAAGGCTGAAGGAAGCTTAAATGCATATCGCTAAGTGAAAGAAGCCAATCTGAAAAGGCCACGGACTGTAGGATTCCAACTATATATGACATTCTGGAAAGGACAAAACTATGGAGACAGTAAAAAGATCAGTGGTTGCCAAGGAGTAGAGTGGGGGAGGAAGGGAGTGGGGAAGGAGGAAGGGAGGAACAGATGGAGCACAGAGGATTTTTAGGGCAGTTGATATGGTTTGGTTGTGTCCCCACCCAAATCTCAAATTGAATTGTACTCCCATAATCCCCAAGTGTTGTGGGAGGAACCTGGTGGGAGATAATTGAATCATGGGGGCAGTTTCCCCCATGTTGTTCTGATGGTAGTGAGTAAGTCTCATGGGATCTGAGGGTTTTATCAGGGGTTTCTGCTTTTGCGTCTTTCTCATTCTTTCTTTGCCTGCTGCCATCCATGTAAGACGTGATTTGCTCCTCCTTGCCTTCCACCATGATTATGAGGCTTCCCCAGCCATGTGGAACTGTAAGTCCAATTAAACTTATTTCTTTTGTAAATTGCCCAGTCTCAGGTATCAGCAGCGTGAGAACAGACTAATACAGCAGTGAATGAGACTGTAACAGAAGATGCATGACCTTATGTATTTGTCCAAACCCACTGTAATCTAAACTATAAACTTCAGGTGATAATACATCAATGTTGGTTCATCAGTTGTAAAAAATCCACCATTCTGGTGGGGGAAGTTGATAGGGAGGGAGGTTGTGCATGTGTGAGGGCAAGAGGTACCAGAAATCTCTATTTTCTGCTCAGTTTTACTGTGAACCTAAAATGGCTCTAAAAATATAAAGTTTATTATATAAAAGTATATAAGTCCACATTTCTGTGAAGGCAGTTCTTTTTTTAAAACACGAACTCTGCATCAACTGCAGAATAGAGATTATAACTGGAATGTTTAATGTTAACCTAAAATATATTTGAAAAAAAAATTTAATTGCACACAACCTGTTGCAATTTTGTAGTTACTCATTTTCTTGCCAGTATTCTCAGTAATCTGTGATCATGGTTAAACATTGGTTAATGTGATAAATTTAATGGTTATGACCTGGGTAAGCCACAGCATCCTCTCATAAAATGAAGTCCAATCAGCTTTAAGGTCAAGGTAAAAATAGGAATAGCATAGGTTAAAAGAAGCAAGCAGGCCAGGCACAGTGGCCTGCTTGAGATATAGATATATATATATATTATATCTATATAACATAGATGTATATTATATATAATATATATAATATGTATATCTATATAATATAGATCTATATTATATCTATATAATATAGATCTATATTATATCTATATAATATAGATGTATATTATATATAATATATATAATATGTATATCTATATAATATAGATCTATATTATATATATTATATAGCTATATGTTATATATAATACAGATCTATATTATATATACTATAGCTATATAATATATAATATAGATCTATAGTATATATAATATATAATAGCATATATATAGCTATATAATATATATCTATATTATATAGATATATCTATATAATATAGATCTATATTATCTATGATATATCTATATAATAGAGATCTATATTATATTTGATATATCTATATAATATAGATCTATATTATATAGATATATCTATATTATATATTATATATCTATATAATATATATCTATATAATATAGATATCTCTATATTATACATGATATATATCTATATAATATATATCCATATAATATAGATATTATATAATATACTCAGGAGGCTGAAGCAGGAGGATCGATCACTTGAACCCAGGAGGTCAAGGCTGCAGTGAGCCGTGAATGTGCCACTGCACTCCAGCCTGTCTCAAAAAATACAAAACAAACAAAAGAAAACCTGACCTGGTGAATATTCAGAAACTATTAAGTGAAAAGCTGGTGCTCATTGTTAGGTGGTCAGGACTTTCTGCTTCTTAAGAGTCCCTAATGATTCCCAGGGCCAAGCATGTTCAGATGGGGACACTGTCTTGTGGCTCACTGTTGTCTCATGTAAGCAGGAGCGGCTGGGAGTGCAGGCTGCAGGCTGTACTTGCTGTTAGGTTCCTGAACCATAACATTAACATAGACATTGTCCTTCTTTTGAATAGAAGACAAATGATCCACAGTGGTACCATGCCAAACCTCACTCTGTAAGGATATATTGGACTGAAATATATTGAATATATTCCCAAATTCAAATATATTGAATTTCATCATATTTTCCCTAAACCATTTGGTTTCACATTTCCCTAAACAATTTGGTTGGATTATATCTCCCTACAAACTGTCACCCTCCTTCTGCCAAGCAAATGAAATGATAACTGTTCTGCATTTTACTTGGGTGTCATCTTAGTACCCTTACTGGTAAGTTGGTATCATCTTTCCTCTTACTTCTTGTATTAGGCTGTTTTTGCATTGCTGTAAAATACCTAAGGCTGGGTAATTTATAAAGAAAAGAGGTTGGTCGGGCGCGGTGGTTCACGCCTGTAATCCCAGCACTTTGGGAGGCCGAGGCGGGCAGATCACAATGTCAGGAGATCGAGACCATCCTGGCTAACATGGTGAAACCCCGTCTCTACTAAAAAATACAAAAAATTAGCCTGGCATGGAGGCGGATGCCTGTAGTCCCAGCTACTCGAGAGGCTGAGGCAGGAGAATGGCACGAACCCGGGAGGCGGAGCTTGCAGTGAGCCAAGATCGTACCACTGCACTCCAGCCTGGGCGACAGAGCGAAGACTCTGTCTCAGAAAAAAAAAAAAAAAAAAAGAAAAGAGGTTTAATTGGCTCATGGTTCTGCAGGCTGTACAGGAAACATGGCGTCTGCTCGGCTTCTGGGGAGGCCTCAAGGAGCTTTCACTCATGACGGAAGGCAAAGTAGAAGCAGGCACATCGAACAGCAAAAGTGAGAGCAAGAAAGCAAGAGAAGGTGCCACACACTTAAACAACCCGATCTTGTGAGAACTCACTCACTATCGCAAGGACAGCACCAAGAGGATGGCGCTAAACTATTCATGACAAATCCACCCCCATGATCCAATCACCTCTCATTAGGCCCCACCTCCAACACTAGGGATCACATTCCAGCATGACACTTAGCCGGGCAAATATTCAACCATGTCACTTCTTTTCCAGCAGGCATCTCTCTGGGCTCTGACCCTTTCCTGTCAATCCCAGTTGGGAGTCTCCGTTTCTACAATCCCCTCCAAACAGGCTGTATCCCCCGACCCTGGCTTCATGCTCAGCCTTTCCTAAATGCATTAAACACCCAGTCAGAGGAAAAGCATTTTGACTTCAAATTAACATTTAAAATAAAAACTAACTTTAAAACATGTTATTATGAAGGCAATAGAGATTCTCTATTTAAAGAAATTCAGGCCAGTTGCAGTGGCTCACACCTGTAATCCCAGCACTTTGGGAGGCTGAGGCAAGCAGATGATTTGAGGTCAGGAGTTCGAGACCAGCCTGGCCAACATGGTGAAACCTCGACTCTACTAAAAATACAAAAAAATTAGCTGGGAGTGGTGGCAGGTGCCTGTAATTCCCGCTACTTGGGAGGCTAAGGCAGGAGAATTACTTGAATCCAGGAGGCGGATGTTGCAGTGAGCCAAGATTGAGCCATTGCACTCCAGCCTGGGTAACAAGAGCAAGACTCCATCTCAAAATGAATAACAAAAATAAAGAAATTCAGAACATTCTGAGCTTTGGAAAAATAATACGTAACTCATAGTGCCATCCATAGACAACCACTTTGAGACTTTGCTGTATCTTCCAGTGATCTAATTAGATTTAAATCGTGTCGGCCAGGCATGTTGGCTCATGCCTGTAATCCCAGGACTTTGGGAGGTGAGGTGGGTGGATCACTTGAGGTCAGCAGTTTAAGACCAGCCTGGTGAACATGATGAAACCCTGTATCTACTAAAAATACAAAAATTAGTAGGATGTGGTGGTGGGTGCCTGTAATCCCAGCTACTGGGGAGGGTGAGGCAGGAGAATCATTAGAACTCAGGAGGTGGACGTTGTAGTGAGCTGAGATCGTGCCATTGCACTTCAGCCTGGGTGACAAGAGTGAAACTCCATCTCAAAAAAACAATAATAAAAAAAAGATTTAAATCATATCTACCCTGCTGGGGCACAGTGGCTTCCACGTGAAATCCCAGCACTTTGGGAGGTTGAGGCAGGCAGGTCACCTGAGATCAGGAGTTTGAGACCAGCCTGGCCAACATGGTGAAACCCTGTCTCTACTAAAAATACAAAAATTAGCTGGGCATGGTGGCGTGCACCTGTAATCCCAGCTACTTGGGAGGCTGAGACAGGAGAATCGCTTGAACCCAGGAGGCAGAGGTTGTAGTGAGCCAAGATCACGCCACTGTACTCCAGCCTGGGCGACAGAGCTAGACTCCATCTCAAAAAAAAAAAAAAAATCCTATCTACCCTATATGCTCCACCCATGCACTTGTGGCATCCTTTAAAAGGAAGGTTTAGGCAGTGATAATCTTTTCTCACCTTCTTTTAAGCACATATACGTCATTGATTATCATTTATATTCATCATTCAGAGACTAATTGTATTGGTTCACATCAAAGTACCCCTGGCTGAGGAGGTATTTTCTTCTTTTTACTCTTCTTATGCTAAATGGGCTTTCCCTGACATGGGCTGTCTGCATCTGACCTTAGCAGCAGGCAGACACAACCCCCTTGCTGACCCTGCAGTTCATGCTGCTGTTCTCAGGGAAAGGTCATGAAATCCTCTCTGCCCTCGAATGACCAGAGTCATTCTTCATATCAGAAGATACTCTGAGCCTGTGGCATGTGTCAGTTTGGGGCACTGTGCCACAATGAGGGTGTGGGCAAATGGGAAGAAGCCAGGAACTGCAACATGGGAGAAAACAAATTAGGGCTGGAGAACTAGGTGGGGACACCTGTGGTTCCCATCAAACTGAACACCCAAAGCTGGAGATAAATACAAAGTGGGAGCTCATACTTTAACCAAAAATGCCTGCCTAGTGGGAGGCAGGGGCTTGGGGATCAGGAGGTGTCAAAGATCAAAGACAGGCAAAGAGTTAAGGATCCAGGTCTTGCTGGGCATGGGTGGCACTTCGGGATGTTGAAGTGGGAGGATCGTTTGAGGACAGGAGTTCAAGACCAGCCTGGGCAACATGGCAAGACCCCATTTCTACAAAAAATAAAAAAATTAGCTAAGCCTGATGGCACATGGCTGTAGTCCTAGCCACCCGGGAGGCTCCTCTGGGAGGATCACTTGAAGCCAGGAGGTTGATGCTGCAGTGAGCTATGATTGTGACACTGCACTCCAGCCTGGGTGACAGAGCAAGATACTATCTCTAAAACAACAACAACAACTCCTGGTCTTTAAAGCGAGAGAAGAGACAAGAATCTAGGCAAGGAGAAGGGAACAGGTGCAAAGCTTGTGCCAAAGGGTGACCAAGATAGAGGCTTCCTGTGGACCCATCTCCAGGGCAAAACATAGTCTGAGAACAAGCGCATTCCTTCTACCACACTGTGTGAAAATATACAATTTTTACGCTGGAATTTTTCAAATCAACATGACTCAGGCTAAACACAAGAATACTCAGTGGAGTGTTTTGTGAGGATTCTTTTCCCTAAGAAGATTCCAGGCCTTCTTTGGGGCAGTGAATTAATCTCTGTCTCTCTCTTTACTTCAATGTCGTTAAGCCCAGTTCCATAACACATAGTAGAGAGTCAAAAACATTCATGGATTGAGTGAATGAATTCTCAAGAGATACTGACTGACTCAAAGAGCAGTTGATTCATCTTAGAATCATTAACTTACCTTATGTCTTCCCGTGGCATATGACAAGTTAAATTGACCTGGACCGCCCCTAACGTGGACCCAAACAGCGACTGCCCTCCCACTCAGGCGAAGGTCAATCCGGCGCCTTGCCCCACTGGGCAGGAGGGCTTCACATTCACATTGGGGGCCTGGAAGTCTCCAGGGACACTCTTCAAGGCTGAGGCTTTGAACTTCCACTTGCATTTTGGCAAAGGTAATTACCTTTCCTGGATGCTGTCAAGGAGAGCGGCGCTTCACCACCAATATCTAAGATCAAGTCGCACGGATCCCCAGGGTCAGTAGGAGGATTCAGACACAGGCTGGGCGCCTCGCTCCTGACCACTGGATTGGCATCACCATAAGTAAGGTCACAGCTGAGTAGAAAATGCCTGAGGCAAAGTGGGGGTGAAAGAGGGGCCACCGAGCAGTGTGATAGGCAGCCCCTTCCGCCAGCTCATTATCCCCACCTGCTCCTGTCGTCTCCTATTAGAATCCTAATGCGAGTTTACGGAAAGTCAGCTGGAGCTTGTCCTCCATGTAATTCAGATCACGTTGCCTGCAGCTCTTAGGTACTCAAATAAACAGAAGGACTAATATTACTACTGAAAAAGTAATTAAGGGCATTCATTGTAAAGTAATAATGATTACCTCACCCTCACCATATGGCCAGAACTGATTAACACCTAGAAGAAATGATCTAAAACCTCTACAATCAGAATTAATGTCTCAGGTCATAATGAGAAACATTTTGTAGCGGGGTTTGGCAGGGAAGGATGAAAAAGTGGTTGGGAGTTTACTAAATCAAGAGGCACAAACAAAATATTGAGGATAACATCCTTTTTCAGGATTTTTCATCTCATTCAGATTAGACAAGTTGCATTTTTAGTGTAGAACCCATATCACAAATGCAAAAAATATTACAAGATTTACACATTGGAATTGTCACTTAATTGGATGAGTTTTTCCTCCATTGTTTCTTTTATAATGATGAGGAATTGATGGAAGAATCTCCATCGAGGCTGGCAGTTTCTTAAATCACCAGGGAAGGGCTTAGCCCACTGATTGAAAATCTTCTTATCGTAAATTACTGGTTAAAATGCTATTTGTTGTCAGGAGTATCATGGAGTGTGATTTAATCTCTTAAGATTAGTTAAAGTGGTAGAAATGTTAGCATTTCTGGGTAATGCCAAACAGGTTAGCATTACAAAAGATGCCTAGAAAGATACGGACCCATTTGGAAGACAAGGTTGCTGTAAAAGCCAGTTTGCAGGTGCACCGTGGGGGGTGACAGGATGCCCTGGGCTGTTCTTGATTAGTGCGTGTGCCCTAGGGTCATGTGGTGAAGCATAAGGAAGCAGAATTTGGGATATTTTTCCCACCAGAATCCCTAAGATTACTCTGTGTACTGCTGGGGAAAAGCTTAATGGGCTCAACACCACCCTTGAGGGAAGGCAATAATGGAATCTCTTTTTTCTGCAAATACTTCCTTGGGTGGTGCATCATGATTCCCTGAGGCAGGATTTCCTGCAGCAGAGCTGGAGGGGCTGGAGGGGCTGGTGGGGCTGGTGGGGCTGGTGGGGCTGGAGGGGCCAGAGGGGCTGGTGGGGCTGGTGAGTCTAGAGGTGCTGGAGTTCCAAGAACTTGGCCTGGAATCTTGAACCTGCAGCCATACATTCGGACTCTAGCTTTGCCTTTTTACTTATCTGTCTTTGACCACTAAAGAAATAGACAGACCTCATAATATTATTTCCTCGACTGCCTCTTAAAAGTCAAAACCTTAAGTTAAGGACACCTCACATTTTGGTCAAGACCAGTGGACCTAGGTAAGAGTAAATCAGAGAATTCCCAAGGTGGAAGAAGTTATTCCTAGACAACGAATGAATCCCCTGGATTTGGGTTGCGGAGTGAGGTGACCAGCTGGTCACCCTGGGGGTGGACTGAGCCAAATGCCTAAGCCTCATTGTTGTTTTAATAACCCAAGTTGGATTCAGGGAGTACCTGTGCAATTCTGTGATTAGCACATCGGGCAGTGAGATTTCCGCACGTTGTAGCTGAGAGGCCGGCTGCTGAGACGACCCCTTAGGGAAAAGTGGAAAACTCTGCCTCCAGAATGGAGATCTGGCTTTCTCTTCCCCTGCTCAACCTGAGCTCAGGGATTCTGTGCCCCTCGCTCTCCGGACAGTTTTTACACCAGATTATCTTCTAATTGCTGTGAATGCAGCCGCATCAGCAAGTCCCCATCTGGGGACATTATCAATTTCAAACCTTGGTCAGTCATGAAGCCCCATTGAAGGACTTCATCCTGAAATCCACGAACAAAGAACGAGATCCCGCAATGCTGTCATCTAAAATGCCTGAAAATGCCAGTGCTGCGACAGATGGCCCTGCTCGGTGTAAGTGACAATGCCCCCAGCAGGCCATTGATTCTGTTTGTGAAATTTAAATATCTGAACAATGACTGATGGTGCTAGGGAGAAGTGTACCTTCAATCCCCCCGACTCCCACCCCCGCCAGGGTTCAGCATATCTCAGTAGTCCTAGTAAAAATAGGTCAGTAAACAGCCTTATTTATGGTGAATGCTTGGGGTCCCTAGGTCATTGAGCCACGAACACTCGTGGAACTGAGGTGTGGCTGGGGATGGGGTTGGAAATAACTCGTTAAGCAGAAAACAGTGTATTCCACATGCACAGAATACAGAAGGAACTGAGTTGGCAGCGATCAAGACAGTTCATGGGAGGAACTCAGAGGAAAATCAATGCTTTCTCTGTGAGAAAGTTTTGAACACTTTTCCCTTTAAGAAAAGTGAAAACTGTCGTTTAATTTTAAGGAACGTGATCATTATAAAAACCTGGACTCTTTCAAATTACAAAGTTTTGTTTATGAAAGCAAGAGTTTGAAATGTCCCTTTAAGATAGAATGAGGAAAACCAGGATTATATTAAGCCTTGTTTATCAACAGCTCATAACAATGTGTGTTTCTGCATGCTTTTCCCTTACTCTGAAATAGGTTTTACTTTGCTTAAATTAGTAATTAGTAAATATTAATGCTTTATTGGTTTAATAATACATGTATTAAAAGCAGTTTATTTTCACAGAAAAAGCCTAATTATTTGGTATTGTATGCTACAAAAGAGAAATGCCATAATTCCCAGTGGGGGCTGTGGATACTGGACCCCCATAACCAGGTGCCAGAGATCACGTGGTGTTCAAAGTCCAAATTATAAGCATAGTGCCGAGGACTCTGAGGATGACTTCTGCACATCTTCCGAAAAGGGATGGAACAGCAGAATGAGTGCCATCATGGCTTGGATGGTTGGAGGTGCTTTGGGCATGAAGACCCTCTAACTGTGAAGTTAGAGGCTTCCAATGTTAGCTCTGTTTTAAGTATATGCACAAAGTCACAGTCTCATAGCTGAGCTATTAAAAATAAAATCAACACCAAGATATACTTGAGAATGACTTTTTTATCACTCGAAACACTTCCTTTTATCATCGATTACACATGCCTTTGATCTTTGTCTTGTGTGAAAGTCTACTATAAAAATGTTTATCGTCATTGTGTCTATACTGATGAATTTAAAGGGTCTAGAAAATATTTCAGAAACAAGGTTTTGGCAGCCCCCCCAAGCATTAATTAGCATCTGTCTTAGAAACACCCATGTGCAAATGCAAAGCTCCAAAAGCAACTTTTGACCCTTTCCTTCTGTGTTGATTGTTGCATGGATGGCAGTGGCATGGTGGAAAGACACATGGGCTCTGCAGCATTAGTGTTAAAACCCTCCATGGGATTAGACTGCCCCAAGCAGCCTGGTGTCTATTCTGGGCTCTGGTCTGTAGGCCTCCTGGGGGCTGACAGCAGCTGCCTTCAGGCTCTCAGGGTGGGGTCCTTCAAGGAGCAACTGAGCAGCTGCTGTGCTCCATCTTTCTCTTGCCCATCCTGGGAGAGCCTCTTCCCCTTCCCCTGTCCCTTCCTTTCTGGCTAAGAGACCATTCTCCTAACGGCGGGCTTCCTACTTCCTCCTTCAGCATTGGATGCGTCTGTCTCTGCCAAAGCAGTAACAGCCCCTGCCTGGAATATTTGTATTGTAATTTAAAAAACTGATATCTACTGTTGCTTGAGCTCTCTGATGCTAAGTGCTTCAGATGAATTATCCTTCCAAACCACCTCACACTCACAATTCCAGATCAGTAAGTTATGGGTTGATCTTAGTGTTACTGGACAGGGATCCAGATCCAGACCCCAGGAGAGGGTTCTTGGATCTCGTGCAAGAAAGAATTCAGGGCGAGTTCATAGAGTAAAGTGAAAACAAGTTTATTAAGTAAAGGAATAAAAGAATGGCTACTCCACAGACAGAGCAGCCTCGAAGGCTGCTGGTTGCCCATTTTTATGGTTATTTCTCGATTACACGCTAAACAAGGGGTGAATTATTCGTGCCTCCCCCTTTTAGATTATATAGGGTACCTTCCTGACATTGCCATGGCATTGGTAAACTGTCAGGGCACTGGTGGGAGCGTAGCAGTGAGGATGACCAGAGGTTACTCTTGTGACCGTCTGTGTTTTCACGGGTTTTAGCCAGCTTCTTTACTGCAACCTGTTTTATCAGCAAGGTCTTTATGACCTGTATCTTGTGCCAACCTCCTATCTCATCCTGTGACTCGGAATGTCTTAACTGTCTGGGAATGCAGCCCAGTGGGTCTCAGCCTCATTTTACCCAGCTCCTATTCAAGATGGAGTTGCTCTGGTTCAAATGCCTCTGACATTAGAGTGATATGGCTTCTTTTTCATGTAGGTCTTTACACGAGATGTAGAGAAGTCTCCAGGACTATAGGAAAGACACACAAGCCCAACCTTCATCTGGAGAAAAGGAACTGGGTTTGGCCAGGCTAAACCCCACGTGGCTTGAAGTCTTGGTGTCCCGTTCGTGATGTTATTCCATACTGAATAAGCCAGATGCTGAGAAGTCTGATACATGCTGAACTACTGTGTTTTGATGTGAATGTCTTGTTGAAATCCTATGGTCAGACGGCACTATTGGCAGGAATTGGGAATTTTTCCCAGAGAGAGTGGATATTCCCACCATCAAAGATCTTGAGAAGATCAATAATCCCAGGATGGGGAATGAGGCCTGGGGAAGTGGCCTTTGGCCTGGGAGAGGGCATGGAGAAACTGCCCTTTCTCCGGGCCTCATGGGCCAGAAGGGACCCTGTTGAATGGTCCGTGCCTTACAAATTCTGAAAGCAGTCTTATCTAGAATTCAGTTTTAAAGAATTTCTGTATTGCAATTATTTCCTATTATCCCCAAGAGTAGTGGACATTTGTTTTTGCCCTCCTAATGTTCAACTCACCCTTTTTTGGTAATAGCACCTTCAATTTTCCTGGGGAAGATTGGATTCCCCACTCGTCCCATGGGTTTCAGACAGGGCTGGCCCCATCCCATGGCTTTGTGGGTACACTAGTGACAACAGAGCTGGCCGATGTGAGTACTGTGCACCGCTGGCCATGGTGACTGGTTCATGGCTGAGCATGTGACCCCAGCTGGGCCAATCAGAGCCAGGCTTGGGTCTTGCTAGGACTGTCGGGGAGAGTCATCCTCTTACCTTTGGAAGGAACAAGCCTAGAGCTTCCGGGGACCACCACTTGGAGAATAAAGTACACAGAGCGCAACAGAGCCAAGAAAGAGAACTTGAATCCTGAAGACGTGCAGCCATGTCTTCAGAGTGAAGACCTGAAGCCATATCTTCAGACTGAAGACCTGAGCCTCTGAATCCAGCCATGCCCAAATTAAGAATATGCCTGTACTTTTTCAGCTTTGTGAACTGAAGAACTCTCTCTTTTTGGCTGGAGTCAGTTTCGATTGGAGTTTCTGTCATTTTCTTCTAAAGCTATCTTATTAAATGTATAAGCTATGTCTCATCTATCACCATGGGAAGTTCATGAGGGGTCCTTGCCCATGCTTGACTAAAGCGCACTGTGTGAGAACAGCAACAGCTTCAGAAGCTGATGCAGACCCTACAGGAAGTCATCTGCAGCGGGGAGGTGGACAGCGGCAGTCTGAGGACTGATACCACCAAAGGCCGCAAGCTTTCCACCGGACGGATGTGTGGAGCATGTCATTTTATTTGTAGATCCTCAGAAATACCTGGGAAAGGCATCTAGTTAAGAGGCTCTGGATGTCATAATAATTTGGGCATTAAAAGCTAATGTTTATACCCATGTTCAAATCAGCATTATGGACAATAACCAAAAGGTAGAAGCAATGCAAGTGTTCACACACAGATGAATAAATAAACAAAATGTGTTCTAGCCATACAATGGGAGATTATTCAGCTTTAAAAATGAAGGAAATTCTACCACATGCTACAACATGGATGAATTTTTAGGACGTTATGCTAAATGAAATAAGCCAACCACAAAAAACCCCACAAAATGTTTTATGATTGTACTTATAAGGGGTATGTAGAGTAGTCAAATTCAGAAAGTAGAACAGTGGTTACCACGGGCTGGTGGAAGGGGGAAATGAGGAATTCTTGTTTAATGTATACAGAGTTTCAGTTTTGCAAGAGCTCTGAAGATGGATGGTGGTGATGTCTGCACAACAATGTGTTTCTACTGAAAGTGATTGAACTGGACACATAAATACGATAAAGATGGTACATTTGTGCATGTATATTTTACAACAGTTTTTTTTAAAGCTGATGTTATCTCATTCTCATTATATTTCAGGCAGCGAGGCCAGTCAACACTTGGATTACACAGCTAAGTGTTTTACATTGTGCCAGGGAGGAACAGACAGAGTTGACTGGGGTGAGAAGGCTGAAAATAGGTTCTAGGTTTCTTCAAGGAGTTTCAGATTGGAGACAGTTCCTGAATCAGTAACGAATATTATAGGAACAGTCCATAAATTTAATTTAGGCTACCTACAAGAGCTAGAAGTTCATTCTTTTCTTTCTTTCTTCCCTCCTTCCCTCCCTTCTTTCCTTCCTCTCTTTCTCTCTTTTCTTTCTTTCTTTTCTTTTATTTCTTTTGACAGGGTCTCACTCTGTTGCCCAGGTTGGAGTGCAGTGGTGCCACATCATAGCTCACTGCTACTTCAACCTCCTAGGCTCAAGCAATCCTCCCACCTCAGCCTCCTGAGTAGCTAGAATTGCAGGCATATACCACTACACCTGGCTTTTTTTTTTTTTTTTTTTTGGAGAGATAGGGTCTCACTGTTTTGCCCAGGCTGGTCTCAAACTCCTGGGCTCAAGCGATCCTCCTGCCTTGGGCTCCCAAAGTGCTGAAATTGCAGTTATAAGCCACTGCACCCAGCCCTTTCTGAGAATATTTAATACACTTAGAGGTGAGACCTAGCAATATTGGAGCTACAGTCTTAGTTTTCGTTTTTGATTCTTCCACTGTGAATCTGGATCACCTGTAGAATGATCGCGGTGGAGAGGCAGAGGAACTGGTGAGCCCCTGTGTCATGGTGGGGTAGGTTAAGAGTGCTTTGGGAGTAATGAGATCCTTGCTGGAGGGAAAAATGTAGGGAAAGATCTGGGGTTCTTGGTGTTCCTTTCATCCTTTATTTCTTCCCTTCCTTGCTCCAGGCAGCATATATCATCTGCATAAAAATTGCATTAAAAATAATTTTCAGCCTTTAATCCCAGCACTTTGGGAGGCTAAGGTGGGTGGATCACTTGAGGTCAGGAGTTTGAGACCAGCCCGGCCAACATGGCAAAACCCTGTCTCTACTAAAAATACAAAAATTAGCTGGGCATGGTGGCGCTCATTTGTAGTCCCAACTCTCTGGGAGGCTAAGGCAGGAGAATTGCTTGAACCCAGGAGGTGAAGGTTACAGTGAACTGAGATCATGCCACTGCACTCCAGCCTGGGTGACAAGAGCAAGACTCTGTCTCAAAAAAATAAGAGGCCAGGTGCGGTGGCTCATGCCTGTAATCCCTGCACTTTGGAAGGCCGAGGCGGGCAGATCACGAGGTCAGGAGATCTAGACCATCCTAGCTAACGTGGTGAAACCCCGTCTCTACTAAAAATACAAAAAATTAGCCGGGCGTGGTGGCAGGCGCCTGTAGTCCCAGCTACTCGGGAGGCTGAGGCAGGAGAATGGCGTGAACCCGGGAGGCAGAGGTTGCAGTGAGCCGAGATCGTGCTACGGCACTCCATCCAGCCTGGGCGACAGAGTGAGACTCCATCTCAAAATAAAATAAAACAAAACTAATTTTCAAATGCTTCCCTTTGAAGTACAGAGGACCAAAGTGGATGAGCCCTGCTGACCTTGAACACAAGAGGCAGCATGCCAGGACCTTGCGTGAAGAGGCCTTTCTCACAGGGTGAAAAGCGCGCTTACCAGCCTGAGCCCTAGCGGCTCCAGCAAGATGAACTTGGTACTGTGGAGAGAAGAGTGATGGAGAAGGAAAGAGGAAGGGAGATAAGGCCTCAGGGACTTCCAGGTACCTATCCCAGGAAGACAGGCTGTCCATATGCTCGAAATATTCCTAGCACGACCTGTAACGATTGTATTTTGTACCATTCTCCAGTTAGGTTAGTGACTGTGTATGTTCCATGTGTGACTGTATACTCTTTCAGGTGGTATGAGGCATCATGGCAGAATGACGTGTGTAGGTTTTATTCCTCTTCATTAAAACAGTGATTCATCAGGTTATGGGTGCACCAAAATCTCACAGATCACCACTAAAGAACTTAATCATGTAACCAAGCACCACCTGCTCCCCAATAATCTTTGGAAATAAAAGATTAAAAAATAAATTAAAAAAATTAAAAACCAAAATTCATGTCTAAAAAAAAAAAACACACACACACAGTAATTAAAAATGGTGGTCAGGCTGGGTGTGGTGGCTCATGCCTGTAATCCCAGCACTTTGGGAGGCTGAGGCAGGCAGATCACGAGGTCAAGAGCTCGAGATCATCCTGGCCAACATGGTGAAACCCCATCTCTACTAAAATACAAAAAAAAAAATTAGCTGGGCGTGGTGGCGGGCACCTGTAGTCCCAGCTACTCAGGAGGCTGAGGCAGGAGAATTGCTTGAACGCGGGAGGCAGAGGTTGCAGTGAACCAAGATCACACCACTGCACTCCCGCCTGGCAACAGAGTGAGGCTCCATCTCAAAAAAAAGGTGGTCAATGAGATGAAGAAAAAGATAAAAAAGCAAGGGGGTGGAATAGGGACTGATGAAGGCGTGCATTTTCTACCAGTATACACCAGACTGCATTTCAGGAGGTTACACAATAAGGTTTTATCCACAAGATGAAGTGAAACCCAGGGACTTTAAAATGTCCACATTTATTTTAACACATAGGTCATTTAGGGGAAAGGAATTGAGTTTCAAGAAATTGAAACTTACGGGATTGCTTAAAACCTTGTTGATGGAAATAGAGCTAGAAAAACTCCATTGACCTGTCAAATCAATGATGGCCATTCAGTGGGTTTCATCTCAATAGTTTCTGGGGAGCATTTTGTTAAACATCCTGAGGAGCGGTGCCCCCAGTGGTCTGGAAATTCTTTGATTCTGAATTTTCAATCAATTAACCTCCTTAAAATCATTTCCCCAGGAAGATATTTTTTAAAAAGTAGAGAGATGATGTGATGTTTAAAACTGAGTGTCAACTTGATTGGATTGAGGGATACAAAGTATTGATCCTGGGTGTGTCTGTGTGGGTGTTGCCAGAGGAGGTTAACATTGGAGTCAGGGGGCTGGGAAAGGCAGCCCTTAATCTGGTGGCATAATCTAATCAGTTTCCAGAGAATATAAAGCAGGCAGAAAAACGTGAAAAGGAGAGACTGGCCTAGCTTCTCAGCCCACGTCTTTCTCCCGTGCTGATGCTTCCTGCCCTCGAACATCAGACTCCAAGTTCTTCAGTTTTGGGACTCAGACTGTCTCTCGTTGCTCCTCAGCTTGCAGACAGCCTATTGTGGGACCTTGTGATCATGTAAGTTAATACTTAATAAACTCCTATATATATATAATATATATGTATATCTCCTATTATATCCTATTAGTTCTGTCCTTTTAAGAGAATCCTAATACAGATGATGAAGAAATAATTCACATTTTAAGGTGTGTTTATTTGTTATGATTTTATCTTATTTTAATTTATTTTTAGAGATGGGATCTCACTGTATCACTCATGCTGGAGTGCAGTGGCACAATCATAGCTCACTGCAGCCTTCAAACTCCTGGGCTCCAGCAATCTTCACGCCTCAGCCTCCCGGGTAGCTAGGGCTACAGGCACGTGTCACCATACTTGGCTAAATTTTTGGCAGTTTTAATGGTTTTATTTAAGCATAAATAAAATATGCACATGAGCTGTGTATTCATTTTCTTTGCTGCGCAGCCTGGCATTGGGGTTGGTGACTCTGAGGGCAGCTGGGCTGCCCTTTCCATATGGCTTTGTGGTTCTTGGAGGAAACACTGTGAGCGATCTCCGCACAGGGAGATTTGCTGCACGTCAGTGGCACTTCCAGCTCCTTGACATTGTGGACCAGGAACTTCCAGAAGCCACTGGGCGGCATGTGCTTTGTTTTTTTGTTCCCATAACCAGTGTTGGGCATCAATATCTGGCCCTTGAATGTTCTCCAAACCCTGTTGCCAATACTGCTGGGTTTCCACCAGTTACACTTAATTTTGACACATCGATCTGACTGGTGCCAGATGAACTTCTTGGTCCTCTTTTTGACAATCTTGGGCTTCATGAGGGGTCTGAGGTCAGCCATCATGTCAAGTAGATGGTTGTCACCTCCGTAGGCGGCACCGAGGAAGAGAGACTGGCTAATTTTTTAATTTTTATTTTTGTAGAAGTTGGGGGGTCTCACTAGGTTGCCCAGGTTGGTCTTGAACTCCTGGCCTCAAGTGATCCTTCTACCTCACTCTCCCAAAGTGCTGGGAGTACAGGTGTGAGTCACTGCATTCAGTTTAGGTGTGTTTATATGGGTGTGGTAATAATCTGTAATCTTGAATTCTTTGAGTATTCTCTCGTATTTAGACAATCATTGCAACATTTAAGAAAACTTGATTTACTAAATTTACTATTATGACTTATAAAAATCACTTAAAAGAGTGCAGAATTTTTGCCTTCTGTGGCAGATGCTGTCATTGCTCTTGGATCCTTTTTCCAATTTCAGGCTTACTAGTGGCAGCAATTTTCTCTCTGACACCCAGCAAGTACCTGCATATGGAGGGTAGTTACTTCTGAGTGGGTCCCAGAGCAAGAGGGGGCTTAGCAGCAGGTCCAAGCTGTGGAACAAATGGCCCTGCTACTGGGGCCATATGGCTCAGCAGATCCCACGGTGCTAGAGGAATCCATGCTTGATAAAGATACCATCTCTAGCAAACCCCATTAAAAGCATGTCAATATAGACTCCAAAATTCTGAACAAGGCCATGCCACCTGGGGAGGAAAACTATACATCATTGGAAAAAGCTCTTCTTATGCTGTTGGGCACTGGTATTGTTTGGCTCTGTGTCCCCACCCAAATCTCACCTTGAATTGTGATCATCCATCCCCATATGTCATGGGAAGAACCTGGTGGGAGGTAATTGAATCACGGGGGTGGGTTTTTCCCAGGCTGTTCTTGTGATGGTGAATAAGCCTCATGAGATCTGATGGTTTCATAAAGGGGAGTTTCCCTGCACAAAATCTCTTGCCTGCCTCATTGAAGACGTCCCTTCGCTCTTCCATCATCTTCCGCCATGATTGTGAGGCCTCCCCAGCTATGTGGAACTGTGAGTCCATTAAATCTCTTTCCTTTATAAAGTACCCAGTCTCAGGTCTGTCTTTATCAGCAGCGTGAAAACGAACTAATACAGGCACGAAATATATTTTGACTATGGATATCAACCAACATATGACCAGAGTGCCTATCACGCGTTGGCTGCTATGGTGCTGCCATAAAGTGACATGAGCAAAGAGCGATCTAGGATAACGTAAAAGTGCTGCATCCAGGATGGAGCCTAAGCATGTCTGGGGCAAAAGTAAGTTACACAAAGAGGCGGTCCAGACCCCATGTCATTCAGTGCCCTTGCATCCATTCTTCTCCCAAGCTTCTGTCCATGGCCCTGTGGGGTGCTCCCTATGACCAACTGATGGAGGAAACAATCTGGGCCTGGTTTGTGGAAGGTTGGACTTCTACTGCAGGACTGCCTGACTCAGAAGTGGCCCTGAAGTTTATGGTGAGCGCAAACTCTCTCCACAGAGCTTCTCCTTCACGTGGAGAAAAGTGCCCCAGGTAAGGATGCGCTTGGCCTCCTGAGCAGTGGCTAAGGCTTGCCTGGTTTGTCAGGACCCTGGAAGAAGTGATCTGCAAAGGAGTTTGGGAAAGAGGCCTGCGGGTGGACCTAGGGGAGTCACCCAGTGTGTGAGACTTTTGGTATCTTCATCGAGGCCCAGCCAGGAACATCCACTTTAGAGGAGGCACTGGATAAGCAGATGGTCAGCACGACTCACCTTGATGTCAGCCAGCCGCCGTCCTCAGCCAGCCCAGTGTTCACACCATGGGCCCACCAGGGGAATAACTTTGGTGGGAGAGGTAGAGGTTGTGAATGTGCCTGACAGCATTGGATCACTAAGGCTAATTTGACTCCTGCTCTGCCTGTCAGTAGCAGACACTAATACTGGGCTCCATGACATGGTACAACCTCTTTCTTTTTTTTTTTTTTTTTTTTTCGAGATGGAGTCTCCCTTTGTTTCCCAGGCTGGAGTGCAGTGGCATGATCTCAGCTCACTGCAACCTCCGCCTTCTTGGTTCAAGCAATTCTGCCTCAGCCTCCCAAGTAGCTGGGATTACAGGTAACTGCCACCACACCCGGCTCATTTTTGTATTTTTAGTAGAAACGGGGTTTCACCATATCAGCCAGGCTGGTGTCAGATTCCTGACCTCATGTGATCTGCCCGCCTCAGCCTCCTAAAGTGTTGGGATTACAGGCGTGAGCCACCGCGCCTAGCCAACATGGTACAATCTCTTGAGACCACTTAGGCACTTGGCAGCAAGTCGATTATGTTAGAGACTTTCCACCCTAGAAATATGTGGCAGTGATTTCTTTGTGACCAGAATTGGTATAGCTTCCAGATACGGGTTTAAATTTTTTGCCACTACTATCTAAGGGCACACAAAATGCCCAATTTATTGACAGGAGATCTTGCAAAACGCTGCCTTGCATGATGGGGCTCACTTCATAGCTAAGTAGGTGCAACAGTGGACACATCACCAAGGGATCCACTGGCTACGCCCCTCTCATGTCACAAGTCTTTCTCAGACTGCTTTTCCCCCATCAGCCAGTCTTCGTCCTCCCATGCTCCTCACCCCCCAGCCAAGTCCATGTATATTCGTATCCTGTCCTTGGGGCACATTTCCCTCCATACCGAGCGAAAGTTCTGCACACTGGAAGGCTTTCCCCTCACCGCCCCTTCTCAAGGTCACTTTCAAGTTGGGTTCTAGCACAGTAGCCGTCCATTTTTAGCTAAACCATCCTTGAGCCAGGTCCAGCTCCTGACCTGGAAGAATATTGGAGTGTCCTTTTAAAAGCATATCTTAGAGGGGCTGGTTAGCTCAGTTGGTTAGAGAATTGTGCTAACAAAAGCGTATCTTTTTTTTTTTTTTTTGGAGACAGGGTCTCCCTCTGTCGTCCAGGCCTGAGTGCAGTGAGGCCATAGCTCACTGCAATTGCAAACTCCTGGGTTCAGGTGATCTTCTCGCCTCAGCCTCCTGAGAAGCTCGTACTACAGACACATGCCACTGCACCTGGTGAATTTTTATTTTTTTTTTAAAGTAGAGGCCAGGTACGGTGGCTCACTCCTGTAATCCCAGCACTTTGGGAGGCTGAGGCAGGTGGATTGCCTGAGGTCAGGAGTTCGAGACCAGGCTGGCCAACATGGTGAAACCCCATCTCTACTAAAAATACAAAAATAAGCCAGGCATGGTGACGGGCACCTGTTACCCCAGCTACTCGGGAGGCTGAGGCAGGAGAATTGCTTGAACCTGGGAGGTGGAGGTTGCAGTGAGCTGAGGTCATGCCACTGCACTCCAGACTGGGTGACAAGAGCAAAACTCCATCTCAAAAAAAAAAAAAATAGATAAATAAAATAGAGACAAGGTCTTGCTGTATTGCCCAGGCTGGTAAAAGCACATCTGAGCCCCCAGCTTGAGAGGACACCTCTGGGGTTGGCTTACTGTCCTTTAGGGAACAGTACATACCTTGGAACCAACCATCATCACATGTGCTCTGCCCCTGAGGGGTAGCACATGGACATCTGGGAACCAACGCCTAGAAGTAGGAGTGGCCCTTCTCACTATCACCTTCAGGGACCCACTTGGGAAATGCAGGCTTCCTATACTTGTAACTTTATGTCTGCTGGGTTGTTGAGGGTTTGCAGGGAGGACACTTTCAATAGGGAATACAATACAGTTTCCATAGTACCTAAAGCTGTAGGTGCCAACTGGTGGGGTCATTTGGTCTCCTCCTGGCAGTGGACAGCAGGCAATGAGGAAGTCAGTGCGCTGATAGGTGACAGGTTGTCATGAAGAGACAGGCTTACTGCTACATGATGGGGGCAGAGAGGTGCATGTTTAGAACCCACTAGGGCACCTCGGCTGGGCGCCATGGCTCACGCCTGTAATCCCAGAACTTTGGGAGGCTGAGGTGGGTGGATCACCTGAGGTCAGGAGTTTGAAACTAGCCTGCCCAACATGGTGAAACTCTGTCTTTACTAAAAATACAAAAATTAGCCGTGTATGGTGGTGGGTGCCTGTAGTCCCAGCTGCTCAGGAGGCTGAGGCAGAAGAATCTCTTGAACTCGGGAGGTGGAGGTTGCAGTGAGCCAAGATCGCGCCATTGCACTCCAGTCTGGGTGACAAGAGTGAAACTGCATCTCAGAAAACAAAACAAAAATACAACCCACATGCCACCTCTTAGACTGTTCTGCACTTATAACAGTGAATAGACAATTACAGCAACTACAGTGTGACCAGGGGGTGACAACTAGGGGTGCAGGCTCCTCAGAGATGACCCATCAGACAAATACTGGCCTAGAATGAGGGAAATTTAGAATGGAGAGTAGAGGAGAAAGGTGAAAATCAGTTACAGTCTGAGGACCAACCAGTAGAAACTTGTTCCACTCATCTTTCTCTTCAAAGCTTTTTCTTCTAGAAATTGTGACTAGCCCCTGTCGCAGAGGATTACCTTGACAGGCACAAATGGATCTGGCTGGTACAATGGGTGGGCAGTACTCTACCCATGTCCCCTGTGACCTTGAACCATTTTTGGGCACACTAGTTCCTGAGGGTTTTCTCTCCCAACAGTCAGGAGCCACATCTCTTTGTTGGAGGGCTGCCCTCCAGCGGCCAGAGCTGGAAATGCCTGAGAACGTATATTCCCTTGGGGCCGCCCTTGGCCAATAGTTGATGGCTACTGGGGTATAAATTCTCTGCTCTTTTGCTGCTAATTAGGACAGTTCTCAAGTGTGACCTATGTTGTCTCCAGAGCTCTCTCTGGGATTGAGTTGAAGGTACTCTATATGCGACTTTGACATTGTTACCCTTACTTGGCCTCCTCGCCTTCCTATCCCTAATTCTCCATTCCTTTACCATTTTTTCCTAATAAATTACTTTTACATGAATTATTACCATTATTATTATTATTTTGAGATGGAGTCCGGCTGTGTTGCCCAGGCTGGAGTGCAGTGGTGTGATCTCAGCTCACTGCAATCTCTGCCTTCCAGGTTCAAGTGATTCTCCAATCTCCACCTTCCAGCTTCAAGTGATTCTCCTGCCTCAGTATCCCGAGTAGCTGGGATTACACCAGGCCTGGCTAATTTTTGTATTTTTAATAGAGATGGGGTTTCACCATATTGGCCAGGCTCGTCTCAAACTCCTGACTTCAAGTGATCTGCCTGCCTTGGCCTCCCGAAGTGCTGGGATTATAGGTGTGAGCCACCGCGCCCAGCCCACTTTTACATGAATTCTTGTCTGGACACTTTCAATAGGGAATACAATATGGTTTCCACCATACCTAAAGCTGTCGATGCCAACTGGCCAGGTCATTTGGTCTCCTCCTGGCAGTGGACAGCAGGCAATGAGGGAGCCAGTATGCTGACAGGTGACAGGTTGTCATGAGAAGGCAGGCTTACTGCTACACAACGGGGGTAGATAACTTAAGCTAAGACATTTTCTTAGGTGTTTGAAGTGAGAGAACCAGATGTGTTAATTTTGTAATCAGAGTTTAAGTGTCTAAGGGAATTTAATTTTCTAAGTCATGTTAAACATTTAAAGATGATTTGGTCAGGTAAGAGTTCATCGAAATATTAATAAAGGGACAAAAAGAAGTGGCTGTTCTTTTTCATAAAAAATTAGTTAGGTTTATAAATAAAATAGCCAGATTTAAAAATAGAGCTTCAAGTTTTAAAATAAATTAGGTTTCTAATTCATAGCTAATACAGTTGACTTGAAGAAAATAAATATCTTTAGAAATTGCTTTTCAGGTTGGAGAGTCCTTTTTAAACAGCAGAAGCTCATTATATTTCAAAAAAATAAATATTGAATGAATAAATTCCAGGCTTAACTTTATGCTTATAAGTTTCTGTAGTTATATTCTTCATTGTAAGTGTGAATTATCAAAAATATCCAGCAAGGTATATAAAGTACTCAAGTCAATATCAAAATGTCAAGCCTGAACTAAAAATTAGAAGCACTCAAACCAAAATTGACAAATGGGATCTAATTAAACTAAAGAGCTTCTGCACAGCCAAAGAAACTATCATTAGAGTGAATAGGCAACCTACAGAATGGGAGAAAATGTTTGCAATCTACCCATCTGACAAAGGTCTAATATCCAGAATTTACTAGGAGCTTAAACATATTTACAAGAAAAAACGAACAACCCCATCAAAAAGTGGGCAAAGAATATGAACAGACACTTCTCAAAAGAAGACATTTCTGCAGTCAACAAACATATGAAAAAAAGCTCAACATCACTGATCATCAGAGAAATGCAAATCAAAACCACAATGAGATACCATCTCATGCCAGTCAGAATGGCGATTATTAAAAAGTCAGGAAACAACAGATGCTGGAGAGGATGTGGAGAAATAGGAACTCTTTTACACTGTTGGTGGGAATGTAAATTAGTTCAACCATTGTGGAAGACAGTATGGTGGTTCCTCAAGGATGTAGAACCAGAAATACCATTTGACCCAGCAATCCCATTACTGGGTATATACCCAAAGGAATATAAATCATTCTACTATAAAGACACATGCACACATATGTTTCTTGCAGCACTATTTACAATAGCAAAGACATGGAACCATATGGCACATATACACCATGGAATACTATGCAGCCATGAAAAGGAATGAGATCATGTCCTTTGCAGGTACATGGATGAAGCTGGAAGCCATCAACCTCAGCAAACTAACACAGGAACAGAAAACCAAACACCTCATGTTCTCACTCATAAGTGGGAGTTGAACATTGAGAACATATGGGCACAGAGAGGGGAACAACTTACACTAGGGCCTGTTGGGGGTGGGGGGTGATGGGAAGGAACTTAGAGGACAGGTCAATAGGTGCAGCAAACCACCATGGCACACGTATGCCTATGTAACAAACCTGCACCTTCTGCACATGTATCCCATTTTTTTTTAGAAGACATAAAGAAAAAAAAATTAGAAGCACTCATAAATTATCCCAGGTACTCATTTACCAAACTAGGCAACTAATTACAGTTATGCTCATCAATGCATATAAAATAAGTAGTTCAACATTAAAATGAATCTATAAAAAGGTGCATCAATAATCATAAATGCAAGATATCATTACATCGCATTCTGGTAATCATCTGAGATAACTACAATTTTAAAATCTGGAATTTCACCTTGAAAGGTGAGATAAATACAGTTGAATATATTTTCAGGTGTGTCTGTTCCTAAGTGCAATTTTCAGTTTTACTGAAGAAAATGAAGGCAGAATTCAGAAAATGAAATACAGCAGTATTCATTTTATTACGAAAACAGGTAGTGAAAATTTTATTGGCATTTTCCTAACTGTATAAAACTTAGTAAAACACTTCATGCTTTAAGAAACATTTCTGTTCTTGATAAAAATTTAGGGCTTGAATGCTTATCTTTGGTAAATTACTTTTACCTTCTGATTATGATAACAGATCTCTCACAGCTTAAAGCAGAATTCCTCTCTATTTACTTAGGTCTTTGATTTTACAACAAAGTGAGGGCTGAATATAAATATTCTTACACGTCCCCCTTTCTCTGGGGAAGCAAAGGAGAATGAATTATAGGGGAGAAATGTGGAAGTATAAATATAACTCTGTCTAAATTATTTGGCAGTTATGTTAGTCTGTATTTTAAAAACCTAAAAAAAGTAAACATTCAAGTTTGTTCCTCAGTACATGAATTTTGAAGCAAATTTATAGTTTTTTTTTCCACAGAGAACCACGCATGTCGTATCTGTTAAATTTTGTTATGTAGTTATTCAGAAATATTGGAAAAATAGACCAGGTAAGCAAGTATAGGCAATCCTAAATTCTAATTTATGTAATCACAATGTAATTATAAATATTGTTAGATTAGAAATATTTCAGAAACAGATTTTTCTCTTTCAGTTCAAAAATATTTCTATGAGCATATATTAACGGAATATGTCCTAATTGAATAAATATAGGTCCTACTTTAAGGAAGTTCATTCTTTCTCTCGCTCTCTCTGTCTCTCTCCGCATCTGAAAGGGAAAAGCTGGTCTGTGGTGGACGCAGCAGATTTTATAGGCAGGCTTGAGGAGGCAGTGTCTGATTTACATAGGGCCCCCAGATTGGTTCAACCAGGTGTGACATTTACATTGTGGCAGGGAAGGCTGGTTGCCCCACCCTCATCTTACTTTGCAGATGGACTTTCCACTCAGCCAGCGCCATCTTGTCTGCGCCATACTGTACACGTGGCTGGCACAAAGAGACGATGGAGCTGCCGTTTTGAACATGCCTAGTCCCAGGTAGCCTTTTCCATTGGCACAACTGCTGGCATTCACCTGTGCAAGCTTCCAGCTTGCTTGCCTATGTTTGCAGCTCGATTTTACAGGGTGCTCTTTGTTAGAAAAGTAAATGATTTGGGGGGCTGCTTTTTATTAAAAGGAAAACCTTAGCAAGGAATCCCGTATCCTCACTATCTGCCTAAGTAATTTCTTTTTAACTCCTGTATCAGAACTCATATGAATATGTGATTAATTCACTTTCAGATTTTTTTTGAGACAGTCTCGCTCTGTCACCCAGGCTGGAGTGCAGTGGCGTGATCTCAGCTCACTGCAACCTCTGCCTCCTGGGTTCAAGTGATTCTCCTGCCTCAGCCTCCAGAGTAGCTGGGGCTACAGGCGTACCCTACCACGCCTGGCTAATTTTTGTATTTTTTGTAGAGACGAGGTTTCACCGTGTTGGCCAGGCTGGTCTCGAAACCCTGGCCTCAAGCAATCCACCCTCCTCGGCCTCCTAAGGTGCTAGGATTACAGGAATGAGCCACCGCACCTGGCCCCAGAAATATTTTTCTGGTGTTTTGCAATGCCGGGGATGGTAGTTAAACTGGTCATGCCCTCCATACAGTGACTTAACTAGCTGGTGTACACACGTACAAGCAATGAAGACATCTTCCCAGCTGTTTTGATTTTGTGTTTGTTTTTATCTTTTAGTTTAACTTCACTTAGCAGTAATAAAGACATTCTTCTATGTTATATTTTAGAAGTTTTATAGTTTTTCTCTTCATCTTTAGGTCTTTATTTCCTTTTGAATTGATTTTGGTATGCAATCTATCTTTATATAGGGGTCCAGTTGCCCCAGGATTATCTATTGAAAAATCCTTCTTTTTTTCCTGTCTGCCGTTCCGCCTCTGTCCCTGATTGAAAACACCTTTATAAAATTATGACTGACACAGCGAAAGAGATCTAACATGACCAGCTCCATCTTGGTTCTAACCTTTAGGCTGTCCTCATTCCTTCCTGGGCATAGGCTGAACTAACTTTGGGAGAAACTTAGTTTATAGTTTAAAACAAAGATGATAACAGCCCTTTCCCAAAACAAACCTCCTTCTTGCCTGGGAACTAGACTGCCTTTGTAGGACTAACAAATTAGCCACAAGATTAGAACTTATGGTTTAGGAGTCATGCTGCTGGAGACTACAAGATTCTGACCCTCCCTAAACTGCTCCTAAGATCAGTGCTTGAGATATTTTGCAGACTCTACACTTGATGGGTCAGCTGGCACCACCCAGATTGATAAATTGGCCCATCTGATTTTGTGGGCCCCACCCAGGAACTGACTCAGTGCAAGAGGACAGCTTCAACTTCCCATGATTTCATCTCCTACCTAACCAATTAGCACTCCTGGCTCACTGGCTTCTGGCTTCCTCCCACCCACCAAGTTGTCCTTAAAAACTCTGCTCCCTGAATTCTCAGGGAGACTGATTTGAGTAATAACAAAACTCCGGTCTCCCACACAGCTGGCTCTGAGTGAATTACACTTCCTCTATTGCAATTCCCCTGTCTTGATAAGTTGGCTCTGTCTAGGCAGTGGGCGAGGTGAACCCATTGGGCAGTTACATTATCAAGTCTCTATAAGTATGGGGGTCTGTTTCTGCCTTCTGATCTGTTTTATTAGTGTGTTTGTCTCTGAGACAATGCTATACTGGCTTAATTCTTAAAGCTTTGTAATATGTTTGGAAAGACGATAAAAGCAAATCTTTCCATGTTTCTTTCCTACATCTTAAGGAATGAATTGGCTATTCTTGGACGTTTGCATTTACACATACATTTTAGGATCAGTTTGTCAGTTTTTTCAAAAGCAAAAAGCTGCTGTGACTTCGTTTAGAATTACATAAAATCTATCAATCAATTTAGTGATTAAACTGGAATACTAAGTCTTAACAATTCTTGAACACAGTGTATCTCTGCATTTTAAAAAATCTTTTTCAATGTCTCCCAAAACAAACTTAATTTTCTCTGTAGAGGTCTTACACATCTTCATATCTGGAAATGTCATAGTTTTTGATGTTATTATAAGTGATGTCTCTAAAATTTAATTTTCTGATTATTTGCTACTTATAAGTTGGACTACAATTCATTTTGATATGTTGATTTTGTGTCAAGCCAAAGAGATAAATTCTGCTATTAAGTTTAATAACTAATCAGTGGGTAAATTTGGACTTAAGTACATAGTTTTAGTGTAAATCTTCTGAAAGTTTTCCCTTTCTTTTCAATTTCTTTTTCTTTCTTTATCATGTTAGCTAGAATGTCCAGTAGAGAGTTGATTAGAAGAGTTGATAACAAGCAGCCTTGTTATATGCTGATCCCAAAGCCTATAAGTGTTTCAACTGTAAGCATGATATTTACTGTACATTTTTTTGTAGATGTCCTTATCACATTAATGTTTACTCTATTCCCAATTTGCTATGGATTTTAAGCATAGAGATTAATTTTGGTCCAGCACAGCAGCCTGTAATTCCAACATTTTGGGAGGCCAAGGCAGGGAGATCACTTGAGGCCAGGAGTTGGAGACCAGCCTGGCTAACATGGTGAAACCCCATGACTACTAAAAATACAAAAATTAGCCAGGTGTGGTGGCCTACACCTGTAATCCCAGCTATTTGAGAGGCTGAGGTGGGAGGATCGCTTGAGCCTGGGAGGTGAAGGTTGCAGTGAGCCGAGATTGTGCCACTGCACTCTAGCCTGTATAACAGAGTGAGACTGTCTAAAAAAGAAAAAAAAAAAAAAGAAGAGAGATTAATTTTGATTTTGATCAAAGCTGTTTTTCTGTATTTATTTATTGACATTTTTCTTCTTTAATCTGTTAGTGTTTATATGAATTAATTTTGCAATGTTAAATCAACCTTCAATTCCTGGGATAAACCCAGTTTGATTTTTATATATTTATGTATTTTATCTTTTCTCATTTTATTTTGAGACAGAGTTTTGTTCTGTTGCCCGAGCTGGAGTGCAGTGGTATGATCACAGCTCACTGCAGCCTTGAACTCTGGGGCTCAATTGATCTTCCCACCTCAGCCTCCCGAGTAGCTGGGACTACAGTCATGAGCCACCGTGCCTGGCCATATTTACATATTTTTAATATATTAATGAATTCAGTCTAATTTTGTTTTTCAGGATTTTTGTATCTATGTTCAAGAATGAAATTGGCATCAAACTTTCCTTTCTTGCACTATCTTCACTGAGTTTTATGTTGAGGTTATGCTAGTGTCATAAAAAATTATTTAGAGTTGGGGATTGTGTCCCCTTCCTCATTTATAAATCTCTAGAAGAGTTTGTGTAATACCACAAATATTCTTTCTTGACAATTTGTTAGAACTCATGGTTGCCACGAGTTGGGTGCCCAGCTAATTTTTGTATTTTTAGTAGAGGTGGGGTTTTGCCATGTTGGCCAGCTTGGTCTCGAACTTCTGACCTCAAGTGATCCGCTCACCTTGGCCTCCCAAAGTGCTGAGATTAGAGGCATGAGCAACCACACCCAGCCTTGGGAATTTCATTAGACATTATTATTACCAATTTACATAGTATTACTTAATCAATGTTCATGGACAATCAGCTACAGATGATCTGTTTCTTTGTTCTTTATGCCTTCATACTCTTCAGACCAGCTGTCTTGAGTCACTTTCTCTCTGCCTGAGTACATCCTTTAGTAATTCACTTAGAGTCTGAAAAAAGACAAATGCTGATAGTTGGGTTTATTAGGATCCACCACCTGAGATGGGAATGGAATAAGAACCTTGAGTTCTAGAAGGGGCACTATTTTACTCTACTCAAAGTTGAAATCACGGTCTCTACACTTTGCATTTTCCCAGTGTCTGAGGCGCATGGCCCCGGGAGAGGAGGAGAATGGGACGGTGGTTCAGATCTGCTGATGTAGCTGTGGTCAGTCACTGGGGAGAATAGGCCTGTGGATTTCTGCTCCTCTGAGATGGATCCATCACTGACTACTGAACTTGTTTTCTCATTGGCTCAACTTAAGAAGGTTCTAGAGGTGAGAAAAGAGTTCACAAATCCATTGGTCTGAATGAGGTGAATTTCTGAGATATGCTTTTATTTTGGAGAACAGTATACACATTTAACTTCTATTTTCAGTGTAGAAAAAATGTCTATCATGGTTTTTGTCACTCTTATTAAACACAGAAAGGGTAAAATGCAGTTATGGTTATAGGTTCTCAGTTATGCCTGAAAAAAAACTGAAGTAAAATTTAATTTATTAAAAATGATCAGGAAATCTTCCCACTACCATGTAGGATCAAGGACGTGAAACAACCAAAACCAAAGAGCAGCTGGAGACCACTTGCCAGTGATTAGCACGAGGTAAGCTGCAAAGAACTTTGAATTAGGTCAGTCTAAATAATAGGGCGTTTTTCAAGTCCTTGCCTTGGGAAGATCAGGAACACGGTGAATAATTGGGATTACCTTTGTCTCACTAAGAGCCAAACCCCAGGTGTTGTAAGGCTACAAAGCTATCTCATTGTCTTCCTGTATCATCCAACGCTGAGATCCTCTGTGACATTTTAAATTGCTTATGTAGCAAAGCAAATGGAGTACAGTATTCAAACATAGTTTTGTGTTTGTAGAGAACATAAGAAGCTGAAAATATGAATGGATTCAAAGTGCATGTAGAAAAAAATGTGTCTGCTATCTTTGTGATTTGTTGCTAAGGAAATGTTTCATAGAGTATTAGTACTGGACGAGCCCAAAGAAATAATAATATGAAGCCATGTGATATTTGGGATCCACTTACACTAAAAATTATTGTTTATTACATTTACATTATATTATTTGTTCTTTATCTGAAATCCGAATTTACCAGAGCGTCTTTTGTTTTTATTTGCTAAACCTGGCACCCCTATTGAAAATCCTGCTCCCCAGGCTTCAGCAATATCTCACTATGTAGAAAAAGTTAGGTTAAAGTTGAATTGTCTGCTATTTTAGAATGTCTAAATATATTCAGAAGGCAAACTATTGGAAGATTTTTTTTAAGCTCATTTTATATTCAAAACTTAGAAATAAGGCTCAAGGAGGAAGGCGTGTCCTTCCAATGTCATTTTGGAGCATTGTTGAATAGGTCTATCTGAAGATTATTTAAATATTTAGGGCAATGTTCTTGTTTGTCCCGCGATCTATTAATGATTAAAGGGCCGAGGTCTGTGAAGTTACATGTTATCGTGAGGTATTTGTCTGGCAGTGATGCAAATCAATTCTGTCTGGTAGAAAAGATAACCTAAAAGGTTATAATTACTGCTTTAGTGCGTTGCAGGATATTAACTTGTTTTGTATAACCTAGGGCTCTTATGCTAACATTTTTTTCATTTTTTTAAAAATAAAATCTTTAAAACTTTAAAGCAGTTTTTTTTTTTTTTTTTTGTAAATCTAAAACAGTTTTAGATTTACAAAATTTGTGAAGATAATACATGACAGAGCAGGAGTATTGCCATCTTGGACAAGCACTGTCATTTTAAGTTCACGTTGATCAAAAACTGCCTAAATCCAAAGGGGATCAGCCTATGACTGTAAACCACAAATGACATCTCTGACCAGAAACATTCCAAATCCCTCCCTGACCAGAGATGTGCCAGCCCTGAGACAACCTTCCCACTGGCCAGAAAGATGTCAGCCCCAAAGATAACCTCCCCTCCACCCAGAGGCATTCCAACCCTGCCATAAACTTCTCCCCTACACGAACATATTCCAAGCTTGTGATAAACCCCCTCACCCTAAAACCAATATATACTCTTAGTCTGTAAGAGAGGGTGCTCCTGACTGAAATTGGCCAGAAGCCCCTCTCAGGTTTTTTTCCACAAAAATAAACCTATCTTTGACTGTTAAGCACGTTTCATGTTTCTTTCCTTTTTCTTTAACTCTTATGGTACAGAGGGTTGCTACTTGCCTCATCCCCACTTTTTCCTATTATTAAGCTTATGTTAATATGGTGCATTTGTCACAACTGACGAACATTGATATATTATTATTAACTAAAGCCCATACTTTATTCAGATTTCCTAATGTCCTTTCTCTGTTCCAAGATCCCATCCAAGTTACTGCATTATAAATAGTAGTCACTGCCTGGGTGCAGTGGCTTACACCTGTAATCCCAGCACTTTGGGAGGTCAAGATGGGCGGAACACCTAAGGTCAAGAGTTTGAGACCAGCCTGGCCAACATGGTGAAACCCTGTCTTTACTAAAAATACAAAAAATTAGCTGGATGTGGTGGTACATGCCTGTAATCCCCACTACTTCGGAGGCTGAGGCAGGAGAATTACTTGAACCTGGAAGGTGGAGGTTGCACTGAGCTGAGATCATGCCACTGCACTCTAACCTGGGTGGCAAGCGAGCTCTGTCTAAAAAAAAAAAAAAAAAAATAGTAGTCACTAACATTCTTTTCTCAAATACCTATAAATATCCATTTCCTCAAATGTTCCTTGAGCCAGTTTTGCCATCTTGCTAGTTCTCTTATTAATGGGTAGAAAAAAAATTTTTTGACATGCATTCATTCTCTACCTTATACATAAATTACATTTTTAACCTTTTGAAAAGTTAACTTTGGTGCCTTCTTATAAGAAAGGGAGGCATGAGGCCTATGGTTATGCATCGTGACTCTATTGTGACTTTTCCAGCATAATCCAGGCTGCAGGAGAAAGACAGCGTTGTGGAGTGAAATCCAGTTTCTCTTTCTTGCAGAAAAATGCAGCTGACCAGGTTGTAGTCAAGAACTAAGCTCACCTAACTGAATAGGAATGTCTGATTGTCAAAAGTCAATAACAACAGATGATTTAAGTCTTCTTAATGTCTTCACATACATTCTAGATGTATACAAAACCATTCTATTTATGATAAAAAATATGTAATTAAAAATTATATCTCAAAAAGCTTTCTAGGAACATTTTCAAGGCTCAGGTTTTCAAACCATGAAGCACCAGTAATTAGGAGGAAGAGTTAAAGGTTTATTTTAAAACTGCAGGGGAAACCAGAGTGATAACAATCTATGATTAATCTGTGATTAATAACGGTTGAAAATTTGTTAGAAGGTACCTGAACATATTTTGACATTTGTATTTCTTTAATGTTTTCTGTAAAGGAAATGTTGTTTATTATTGGTAAAGCAAAATTTGTTTCTGTTAATTTTGGACTGCTAATTTTTTTCTAAAAAATATAATTGAATGCCATTATGGCCTCTCCCGTACTGTTATCCACCTCTGAGAAAGCTTAACAATTTAGATCATGAAGTCCATAGGAAGAGAATATTGTTCCATTGTTGGCAACCATCAGCATTTCATAAATAGCTCCAAAACTGAAACTGCCTTTGCAAAATTATGACTCAGACAGTGAAAGAGATCTAACTTAATCGACTTCCTCTTGCTTCTAACCTCCAAGCTGTCCTTGTTTGTTCCTGGGCAAAGGCTGAACTAACTTTAGGAGAAACTTAGTTTGTAGTTTAAGACAAAGATGATAACAGCCCTTTCCCAAAGCAGATCTCCTTCTTGCCTGGGGACTAGATTGCCTTTGTAGAACTAACATTAGCCACAAGATTAGAAATTATGGTTTAGGAGTCATGCAGCTGGAGACTACAAGATTCTGACCCTCCCTAAGCTGCTCCTAAGATCAGTGCTTGAGATATTCTGCAGACCCGGCACTTGATGGATCAGCTGGCACCACCAAGATTGGTAAACTGACTCATCTGATCTTGTGGCCCCACCTGGAAACTGACTCAGCACAAGAAGAGAGCTTCGACTCCCTGTGATTTCATCCCTGGCCAATCAGCACTCCTGGCTCACTGGCTTCCTCCCACCCACCAAGTTGTCCTTAAAAACTCTGCTCCCCGAATGCTTGGGGAGACTGATTTGTCTTTTCTGACTGTGTTTTTTGCTTTTTAACATGCCTCGTAATTTTTTTGATGATACCCAGTTATGATGTATCAGGTACAAGGAACTGAGGTAGGAACTGGGACTTTCAGTTTTATGAAACTCTGGCTAGAAAGTGGCTGTTTGCTGTTTGCTTCTAGTTGGACATGTCAGAGGTTAAAATAATCTCTGATACTCTTATTTTTGTCTCTCCTATTGTCTTTGGGTTTCCTCTGGGACTTTTTCCTAAATAGGGTCTGAGGCTTGTAATTCTTTCAGCTGTAATCTCCTGCTGATGTGATGGGAAGGTGTCGGGGAGGGGAGGTGTTCTATCCCTTTAGGATTAGGCCTTGGCCTTTTAGTGAGCCTGTGCCCCCGGGTTGTCTTCTCAGCACCCCTTTGCCCTCCCTCTCCCCTTCAGGCAAGACAGGAAGGTGAGATGGGGCTGGAGTTGGGTATTTCCCTTCCCTCAGGTTGATTAGACTCTGGTAAAACCCAAAGGGGCTGGGCTCTGGTAAGGTAGTTTTCCTTGAGGGCAGGGTTTTGTTAAGGAGAACAGAATCTCTTGGGCATACAGTTGATTCTTGCTTAGGGGCACTGACACCCCCCTTCCCCCTGCACAGTCAAAAATTCAAGCATAAGTTTTGACTCCTCCACAACTTAACTACTAATAGCTTACTGTTGACTGGAAGCCTGAAGGATAACATAAACAGTTGATTAACAAATATTTTGTACATTATATGTATTATATGCTATATTCTTACAATAAAGTAAGATAGAGATGATAAAATATTAAGAAAATCACTGCTGGGTACAGTGGCTGACACCTGTGATCCCAGCACTTTGGGGGGCCAAGGCAGGTAGATTGCTAGATCCCAGGAGTTCAAGACCAGCTTGGGCAACATGGTGAAACCCTATCTCTGCAAAAAATACAAAAATTAGCTGTATGTGATGGTGTGTGCCTGTAGTCTCAGCTACTCAGGAGGCTGAGGCAGGAGGATTGATTGAGGCTGGGAGGTCAAGGCTGCAGTGAGCTGTGATCAGTGCCACTGTACTCCAGCCTGGGCAATAGAGAAAGACCCTGTCTCAAAAAAAAAATAATAATAATAGAAAGAAAACTGGGAGTGGATCATCATAAAAGTCTTCATCCTCTAAGTCTTCATGTTTAGCAGACCGAGGAGGGGGAACAGAATGGTGATATGGTTTGTGTCCCCACCCAAATCTCATCTCAAACTGTAATCCTCAGATGTTGGAGGAGGGGCCTGGTGGGAAGTGACTGGATCATGGGGGCAGATTTCCCCCTTGCTGTTCTCAGGATAGTGAGTGACTTCTCCTGAGATCTGGTGGTTTTTAAAGTGTGTCACTTCTCCCCTCACTCTTGGGAGATGTGCTTGCTTCCCCTTCACCTTCCGCCATGACTAAGTTTCCTAAGGCCTTCCAGCCATGCTTCTGTACAGCCTGCGCAACTGTGAGTCAATTAAACCTCTCTTCTTCATAAATTACCCAGTCTCAGGTAGTTCTTTATAACAGTATGAGAACGGGATAATAGAGAAGGGATGGTCTTACTGTCTCAGGGGTGGTAAAGGAGGAAGAAAATCTGTATATAAGTGGACCCTTGCAGTTCAAACCTGTGTTGTTCAAGGTCAACTGTATTTCAAATAGTTACTTTTTCCCCTCACCTGACTGAAGTGTGAGGGACTTTTCCCTGATCTTCACTAGAGAAACTCCTGGAAGTGAAACTCATGAAAATGTCCTCCCCACCCCAAGACTGAGTCTCCAGAGTTTTAACTCTCCTGCAAGTTCATGCTGAGTCTCCAGAAGTTTATCAACTGCAGTTCAAGTGCTCCTACCAGCACTGGCTCCAGCCTAGGGCTCCTGCTTCTGGACTTCTGTTCCTGCTAAGCTGTGATTATTGGTATCCTCTTCTTTTTCTAGCTTCTGGACCAGCAGCTTGCCCCGTGACGTCTGTTCTCTGATGAATGTAAGAGGGGTTGTTGGTTTTCATTTTGTTCAGCTTTTATCTTGTTTTGAGAATGGTGGTGGTGACTTCCAAGCCCTTATATGTGGAAGAAAGTAGGAAGCCCTTGTGGTTCTGTTAGCTCTACTGTCCTGGAAATCTGTGAAATGGATCGTGGGTCCTTCACACTTCGCAGCCCGAATGTTTGAATGGCTTCTTTCTTTGTAATGACATGTAAAATATGATATGAATGATACAAATTAACTTTTGTTCCCTCTGTTTTTTGGAACATTAGAAACAACCCCAAAGGCCATGATGCAAATGGCAAAACAGCTTATAGGAAATCACACACAATTTGTATGTGGCAGGTCCAGGATTCAAACCTGGTCAGTCTGACTCCAGAGTCCAGGCAGTTAATCAGAAAGTGTCCAGTCTCCTAAATATAGCTCAACTACCTTATCTTTTAGTTAGAGCTGGGAATATACATGTAGTGTTATCTTGCTCTGTTGTTGGTGATAATTTTGATCACTTGGTTAAGGTGGTTCTACCAGATTTCTCTAGTCATTGTTTTTTGAAATATTTATTCCCATATTTTATTATATATGTAGATGTATATATATACAGATACATATATATATATATATATTTTTCCTTCTGGCCCTCCTATTAAGATTCTATTGCTTCTACTTCTGCATCTTTAGTTCTTTCTTTGTAGTTTAAAGCTCTATTTTTCTCTGTTGCTTTATCAAATTATTAAAAATGTCTTCATCTGATCGTCCAATTTACTAATTTGTTCTTCAGTAGTAAGCATCCAACTATTTATCACATCTATTGTTTTTGTTACTTAAAATATTATTTTTATACATAAATTTCTAGTTGATTCTGTTTTCCTTGCTTCTTATTTTTGTATCATATTAGTAATATCATCACTTACAGGGCTAGCACACTGTACAACTCAAAGGTAGCATTCTCCAGGAATGCAGTGTGACTGGTGCCTCAGGAGTTGTGCAATGAGGTAGCTCTGAGTCCCTGATATCCTTAAGCATTTTTATCATGCTTATTTAAATTTCTTGGTCTACCTTTAGATGAAACATGTTGTTTCATCTGTTGTCTTTCTTTTATTGTTATACTTAGGGAAGTAGTTACTTTGGCTGAGGGTTTTTTTTTTTTCTTCCTTTGGAATTATCAACTACTCTTTCAGGTAATATATGTGGCTCTAGTCTGTATCAAGATATGTCATAATACAGTAGGAGTGTGGAGAGAAAGGGACTGGAAGGGTGATTTCCTCCTGTTTGGACACTACAGTATGAACATCACCATGGCCTAAGCTGTCCTCACCAATGTCTGTAGCGAAGGGTTAGACATGATGGTCCCAAGGCATTTAGAGAGAGAGGCAAGAATGGAACATGGAAAGCTGTTCTCCAACCTGTCCTCCCACTGTCTCTTCCAATGCACTCTGCCTCCTCAGACCTCTCTCATACACATTGATTCAAGACTAAGTTCAGTGTTTTCTCTTATTTTTTTTTTCCTTCTGTAGCACATGTTTCTATAATTTCTCCAGGGTTAATTTTGGGGGAGAGAGCCAGCACTTAGCTAAATATATCTAAGTTTGCCATCTTAGCGGGATAGAAACTAACTCATATATCTAGTTCAAGAAACCATTTGATAAGTTCCTAAGAAATTTATGTATAACATAAATAAAATGGACACAAATACTAAGATTTTTGTAGGCAGAATTTCAAAGATGTGCCCTCAAGATTTCTGTCCCCTTGTTATTCAATCAAACCCTAATCTAGGCACTGGTACGAAGGGGCTTTGCTGATGTAGTTAAGGTTACTAATCAGTTGACTTTACAATAGTGAGATTATCCTGGATTATTCAGGCTGGCCAAATGTCAGTGCATGAGCCCTTAAAAGCAGAAGAGGAAGGAGGAAGAGTAGGTTAGAGAGATACAGCAGGAAGAAGAGGTGAAGGGAGATTAGGTTAGAGAGATACGAAACATGAGAAAGACATGACCTACCAACATTGGCTTTGAAGATGGGTGAAGGGGGCTGTGAGCTAGGGAACCTGGTGGTCTTTTGAATGACTGGGAGCATGACTTCCAGCCAACAGCCAGCAAGGAAATGGAGACCTCAGTCCTACAATCACAAGGAACTGAATTCGACCAACAACCTGAATGAGCTTGAAACAGATTTATTTCCAGAGCCTCCAGATAAAAGCCCCTCTGGCTGACACCTTGGCTTTAGCTTTGTAATACCTGAAGCAGGAAAACCAGCTGAATTTACCCAGATTTCTGACCTACAGAATTGTGAGATAATACATTTATATTTTAAGCTGCTAAATTTGTGATAATTTGTTATAGCAGCTATAGAAAAGCAAAACAAAGATTTACATGTAATGGAGTGCCTTGGCTGAAATCTTACTTTGATATTTTTGAAACCTCCAGGTGAGTTGGAAAAAAAACCCCACAACCTAATGAAAAATGGTGTAATAGTGCAACAGGGCTTGCTCATCCCTGCCTCTCCCAGCACAAACAGAGGTGGCAGGCAGTCACAAAGATAGCTCAACAAAGATGAATGCACAATTAAGAATAACCAAACTTTGAGATGAGCCCCATGATAAAAGAGAAAAAACAAATTCAGCCAATATAGTCTTATCCCTAAAAAAGCAAAATTAATGAAGCAATCAGAATAGGACTTTTGATATATCTCATATAGCCAGAGAGGTAAGAGAAAGTATTGTGTTATGAAAATAGTATCAAGCGATTATGAAACAAGGACATTTCAGTAAGGAAAATATAGTCAGTTCTGCTATAAAGTGACATACGCACTCCTAAAAATCAAAGTACTATGTAAAATCGTGTAACAAAAACCACCAGGCCTATGGGGAAGAAGGGAATAGGGCACAACACTAAAAATGTTGACCCTTAAAAATGCTCCTATCTAAAAAAAGTTAGAACCCCAAGAAAAAAATGGTGACACAGTTTTACACATGCTAACTTGTTAAGAAATATATAAATACCACAACAAATATGGCACATTACTTTAAAAAAGACCTAAAGGTTGTGTGTAGAAGTGGGCATTGGAAAGGGTGTGAGTGGTGGAAGGAGGGTTATTTGAATTAGGATGGAAAGTTGTAACACCAGCTGTGGAAGGATGTGGCTCATAACACATGTGGTATACTAAGGTAGCTGGTTGATGTTTGAGAGAGCTGTGTGCACATGAATTTTGTGTATTACTATGTAGGTCAGTTGGGTGCATTTTTTTATGGTTCGGTTTCTGTATTTTGTGGACTAAATCTCACATCAGCACACAAATCACATTATGTCTAATTGGTCCTTAATATGTCAATTGTATCAGAACAAACTCACATTTTTAAAAAAGTGATAAAGCAGAATAATTGTAACTTAAACAAAACTCTTTAGTCAGTTAATTCAGGAGTTAAGAGTTAAAACAACAACAACAAACTATAGTTAGTAATTTGAGAGCTCAGACGATTTACAATTTTTAGATATTCATTGAAGGAATTCTTGGGGCTCCAATAAGAAGAATAATGAATCCAGGGGGAAATAGTGAGATACAGGAAACTATTGGTCAACAAAAACAACAACAAAAAACCCAAAACCCACAACATTTTTTTTATTAAATACGATTTTATTATTTATAAATTGAAAAAAATATTGAACCTAACACCTAACATCCCAGACCACATCACTATGAAAGTCACAGGAAATGGAGGTAATGGAGGAGGGCCAGGGAAGGTAGAATAAAAGTGAACTGATTCTCTTCTTGCCTGGAGGTTGGAAGTAGAGTAAGATAGAAATTAATTGACTGTAGGTTTTGTTATAAAATATTAAATTTAAGGATAACCTGAGAAAAATAGTAAAATAATGTAAACTTATCAATTAATAGTGAAAAAAAAGAACAAAGGAAAGCTAATTAAAAGCAGGAAAGAAGAGAATAAAAAAAGAAAGCACTCCCCACCTTTTTTTCCCAACATGGTGGATTGGAAGCTTTCAGCATGCCTCAGCCACTTGGAAATAGCAAGATGGTGCACAAAGATCAACTCTGTGAGTTTAATTCAAGAAGAAAAATGGAAATCCACCAGAATCATGAAGGACGCCCCAGATCCTGTGGAGGAGAATACTGGTAAACAGCCTCCATGATGGCATCCCACTGATTAAAGTTAGTGAAGCCCCCATGTGTGAGAGAGGCAGAGAACCTCCCTCTATGACTCACCTTTCCACCGGGGATCTCAGCAATCCAGGCTGAGGGAGAGCACTTTCATTCTTCCAAGCCCTGGAGCTAATGTGGGGACAGTGTTGTAGATGCTGAGGACAGACACCAGACAAAGCTATAGACATTTTTCCAGACCCAGGATCAAGAGCAGGACACCATTTTTAATCTGGAGGCATACAAAGTCAGCCATTATTTGGCGACCTAACAGCATAGTCATGCAGGAATTTTAGTCTTGGGCCGGAGATTGGAGCACCTCCTCTAGAGCAGGGTAGGAACCTCTACAGTCAGAACTGTGGAAAGCTCCTCAGCAGTAGGTTCTGGGATTGTGCTCTCTTCCAACACAAGTCTCCGGTGGGAGGAGAGCTTCTACAGCTGTAGTTTCTCCTGGGCAGTGAGACTTGTAGCTAGGGCCAGGTTGGTGACCACCTTGGTGGTCTGTGTGTGCCATTACTGTGTGCCCCAACTGCTCCTTTGAGATCATGGTGCAGTGGGGCCCTCTTTGCTTCACCCCTAGGCAGAAATCCAGGCACTCGGAGCACTTGCTTGTCTGGATCAGCCTGAGCCATATCCTTCATGGGCAGAAACCCTGGTACAAGGGGGCCCTCTCTGTTCCACACCCAGGCAGATCTCCAGGCATCTGGAGCACCTACTCTCCTGGATTAGGAATTTAGGCTGCCTCCATCTCTGTGCAGAGAACTTGGGGTCAAGGAAGTTTCCCAACTCCCTGCCTAGGCAAGCCTTTGGGCACTTGGCAACAGCTTACTGGATTCTCAGTTAGCACTGGTGCTTGTGCCTGCCATCAGGGACCGTAGGTGGACCTGCCTGGTCTGGCTTCACCAGTGTTGGCTCCCTACCCCCGCCCATGAAGGGGCTGAGCAGGGAGTCAGACCATTGTGCACTCCACAAATCAGCGCATTACCTGAGGCAACAGAGAAACTTCTCCCAGTAAACAAGGATCAAGTATATACCCAGTCATGTTGGCAGCAGCAGGCTCTTACCTATAAGTGCCATCTACAGCTTGTAGGTCAAACTGCATAGTCCAATATAAAACCTGCTGACAGAAGTGCATAGGGCTGTAGAAGCAAAGCCAAATGACCTCACCAAGCATTCTCTATAGTCACACCCACTAAAGAGTGGAGGGTGGGGGAGAAAGAAAGAAAAGAGTAGTAACAACAAAAAAATAACATTATGGGGGAAAAAAGAAAAAAAATCCTACCTTCATGAAAATAATTACAAAAATTAGAAGTGCCAGCATCTCTAGATAAGGAATCAATATAAAAATTCTGGCACCATCAAAAATCCGAATGTGGTGACACCACCAAAGGATCACACTAGCTTTCCAGCGATGGTCCCTAACTAAAATGGAAATGAAGAAATAGCTAATAAATTCAAAGCATGAATTACGAGGAAGCTCAATGAGATCCAAGACAAGGTTAATAATCAATATGAAGAAACTTCTAAAGCAATCCAGTAAATGATGGAAGAGGTAAACATCCTAAAAAGAAATCAGAGCTTCTGGAATTGAAAAACTCACTTAAGGAATTTCAAAATACAGTGGAAAGCTTTGTCAATAGACTGGACTGAGCAGAAGAATTTGAGAACTTGAAGACCGGTCTTTCAAATTAATTCAGTCAGACAAAAATAAAGAAAAAAGAATTTAAAAAAATGAACAATGTTCAAGAAATATGGGATTTTGTAAAGCAACCAAACATACAAATTATTGGCCTTCCTGAGAGAGAAGAAAAAGCAAACAACCTGGAAAACACATTTGAGGGAATAATTAAAGAAAAATTTTCTCATTTTGTTAGAGAGCTTGATATCCAGATACCAGAAATTCAGAGAAAACCTGCGAGGTACTATACAAAATGAACATCACCAAGGCATACTTGGTCACCCGACTGTCCAAAGACAATACTAAAGAAAAAAATCTTAAAGGCAGCTAGATAAAAAGGTTAGGTCACATACAAAAGGAATCCCATCAGGCTAACAGCAGACTTCTCAGCAGAAAGCTTACAAGCCAGGAGAGGTTGGGAACCTATATTCAGCATTCTTAAAGACCAGAAATTTCAAAAAAGAATTTCATATATTGTTAAACTAAGCTTCACAAGTGAAGGATAAATAAAATATTTTCCAGCAAGCCAGCCCTGAGGGAATTTGTTACCACTAGGTCAGCATCACAGAGGTCCTTAAGGGAGCTGTAAATGTGAAAATGAAAGAACGGGTGGGCCATGGTGGCTGGTGCCTATGATCCCAGCACTTTGGGAGGCCGAGGCGGATGAATCACTTGAGGTCAGGAATTCAAGACCAGCCTGGCCAACACAGTAAAACCTTGTTTCTACTAAAAATACAAAAATTAGCTGAGTGTGGTGGTGTGTGCCTCTAGTCCCAGCTACTTGAGGGCTGAAGCATGAGAATTGTTTCAACCCGTGAGGCAGAGGTTGCAGTGAGCTGAGATGGCACCACTGCACTTCAGCCTGGGTGACAGAGCAAGACTCTGTCTCAAAAAAAAAAAAAAAAAGGAAAAAGGAAAAAAAAGAAAATGAAAGAATGCTACCTGTTACCACAAAAACACACTTAGGTATGTAGCCCACAGACCCTAGAAAGCAACCACATGATAGAAACTACAAAGCAAGCCAGATAACAACTTCACAATAGGATCAAAACCTCAGATATCAATATTAACCTAGAATGTAAATGGTCTAAACGCCCCAGTTAAAAGGCATCAAGTGGCAAGTTGGATAAAAAACAAGACCATCCATCTGCTGTTTTCTTTTTCTTTTTTTTTTTTTTTTCCTAGATGGAGTCTTGCTCTGTTGCCCAGGCTGGAGTGCAGTGGCAAGAACTCGGCTCACTGCAACCTCCGCCTCCTGAGCTCAAGCAATTCTCCTACCTCAGCTTCCCGAGTAGCTGGGATTACAGGTGTGCACCACCATGCCTGGTTAATTTTTGTATTTTTAGTAGAGATGGGGTTTCACCATGTTGGCCAGGCTGCTTTCGAACTGGCTGGTCTCAAACTCCTGACTTCATGATCCGCCCACCTTGGCCTCCCAAAGTGCTGGGATTACAGGTGTGAGCCAACACACCCGGCCACCATCTGCTGTTTTCAACAGACTCATCTCACATGTAATGACACCCATAGGCTCCAAGTAAAGGATTGGAGAAAGGTCTACCATGCAAATGGAAAGCAAAAAAGAACAGGGGTTGCTATTCTTATATCAGATAAAACAGACTTTAAACCAACAACAGTAAAAAAGGACAAACAGAAGGTCATTACATAATGATGAAGCATTCAATTCAACAAGAAGACTTAGCTATCCTAAATATATATGCACCCAACATTGTTGTACCCAGATTCATAAAACAACTACTTCTAAACCTATGAAAAGACGTAGCCACACAATATTAGTGGGGGGGCTTCAACACCTCTCTGACAGTGTTAGAAAGATCATTGAGGGCTGGGCACAGTGGCTCACAGCTGTAATCCCAGCACTTTGGGAGGCCGAGGCGGGCGGATCACGAGGTCAGGAGATCAAGACCATTCTAGCTAACACAGTGAAACTCTGTCTCTACTAAAAATACAAAAATTAGCCGGGCGTGGTGGCAGGCACTTGTAGTCCCAGCTACTCGGGAGGCTGAAGCAGGAGAATGGCGTGAACCCAGGAGGCAGAACTTGCAGTGAGCGGAGATCTTGCCACTGCACTCTAGCCTGGGTGACAGAGCGAGACTCCGTCTTAAAAAAAAAAAAAAAAAGATCATTGAGGCAGAAAACTAACAAAGAAATTCTAGACTTATTAAATTTTACACTTGACCAATTGTACCTAATAGACATCTACAGAATACTTCACTCATAAACCACAGGATACATATTCTTCTCATCTGGGCACAGAATGTACTGCAAGATTGACCACACACTTGGCCATAAAGCAAGTCTAATCAATTCAAAAAAACTGAAACCATACCAATTGTACACTTGAACCACAGAGGAATAAAAATAGTTATCAATACCAAGAAGATTTCTCAAAAGCAGAATTACATGGAAATTAAACAACTTGCTAATATTTGACTTTTGGGTAAAAACAAAATTAAGGCAGAAATCAAAAAGTTATTTGAAATAAATGAAAACAGAGACACAGCATACCAAAATCTCTGGAATGCAGCAAAAGCAGTGTTAAGACGAAAGTTTATAGTGCTAAACGCCTACCTCAAAAAGTTAGCAATATCTCAAATTAATAACCTAACATCACACCAGAGGAGCTGGAAAGGTAAGAACAAACTAACCCCAAAGCTGGCAGAAGAAAAGAAATAACTAAAATCAGAGCACCACTGAATGAAATTGAGACCCCCCAAAATCCATCCAAAGAATCCATGAAACCAAAAATTGGTGTTTTGAAAGGATAAGCAAGATTGACAGACTGTTAGCCAAAGAATAAAAAAGAGAGAAGATCCAAATAAGTACAATTGGAAATGACAAAGGTGACATTACAACTGATCCCACAGAAATGTAAAAGATCCTCGGAGACTATTATGAACACCTCTGTGATCACAAAGTAGAAAATCTAGAGGCAATGGATTAATTCCCGCAAACATACAACCTTCTTCCCAGTTTCAGGAAGAAATTGAAACCCTGAACAAAATATTGAGTTCTGAAACTGAAGCAGTAATAAAAAAAAACCAAAGGAAAAAAAAAAAGCCCCAGACCACTTAGATTCACAGCCCAATTCCACCAGACATACAAAGAAAAGCTAGTTCCAATTCTACTGAAACTATTCCAAAAAAATTGAGGAGGAGGGACTCCTCCTTAACTCATTCTACAAAGCCAGCATCACCCTGATACCAAAACCTGGCAAAGACACAACAAAAAAAAGAAAGCTACAGGCCAATGTCCCTGATGAACATACATGGAAAAATCCTCAACAAAATACTGTAAACTGAATCCAACAACACATCAAAAAGTTAATTTATGCTGCTTAATGTCTTTAACTGGTGGGTGATTAAGGGTGGAAGTGGTCCGGATATTCTAAAATTTGCTAATTATTAGGAGAGAAATGACAGAAGGCACAGTAAGAGTTGCCTTTATGTTCTCTTATTCTGAAAATATATATCAAAGTCTCCCTGTGTGCTAGGCACTGTGGTAGGACTTCAAGTATGTTCTTCATTCACAGTAAAAACAACTTCCTGAAAAAAAGAGTTAATTCATTATGATCAAGTACGCTTCATTTCTGGGATGGAAGTTGGGTTCAACATAACGTAAATCAAGAAATGTGATTCACCACATAAACAAAATTGAAAATGAAAAATCCATGTGATCATCTCAATAGATGCACAAGAAGCTTTTGATAAAGTCCAACATCCCTTCATGATGGAAACCCTCAAGAAACTAGGTATTGAAGGAATATGCCTCAAAATAATAAGAGCTATCTATGACAAACCCACTGTCAGCATCATACTAAATGGGCAAAAACTGGAAGCATTTCCCTTGAGAACTGAAACAAATCAAGGATGCCCAGTCTCACCACTCCTATTCAACACAATACTGGAAGTGCTAGCCAGAGCAATCAGGCAAGAGAAAGAAGTAAAAAGCACCCAAATAGAAAGAAAGGCAAACTATCTCTCTTGGTAGATGATATGATCCTATACCTAGAAAACCCTAAAGACAGTACCAAAAGGCCCCTGGAACTGATAAACGACTTCAGCAAAGTTTCAGGATATAAAATCAATATACAAAAACTTGTCCCTTTTCTATACACCAATAACATTTAAGCTGAGAGCCAAATCAAGAACACAATCCCATTTACAATGGCCACAAAAAATAAAATACTTAGCAATACATCTAACCAAGGAGGTGGAAGATCTCTACAAGGAGAACTACAAAGCACTGCTAAAAGAAATCATAGATGACACAAACAAATAGAAAAACATCCATCCTCATGGATTAGAAGAATTAATATTGTTAAAATGGCCATAAGTGCCCAAAGCAGTTTACAAATTCAACACTATTCATATCAAACTACCGATGTCATTTTTCCACAAAACTCAAAGAAAACTAGTCTAAAATTAATATGGAACCAAAAAAGAGGCTGAATGGCCAAAGCAATCCTAAGCAAAAAGAACAAAGCCGGAGCTATCACATTACCCAGCTTTGTACTGAAAGGCTATAGTAACGAAAACAGAATGATACTGGTACAAAAACAGACACATACACCAATGGAACAGAATAGAGAACCTAGAAATAAAGTTGCACACCTACAGCCATCTGATCTTTGGCAGGTACAAAGACAAAAGATGGGGAGAGTACTCCCGGTTGAATAAATGGTGCTGGGGTAGCTGGCTATCCATGTACAGAAGATTCAGACTACACCCCTACTTTTCACTATATACAAAAATTAACTCAAGATGGATTAAAAATTTAAATGTAAGACCTCAAACTATAGGAATCCTAGAAGAAAACCTGGGAAACACCATTCTGGACATCAGCCTTGGGAAAGAATTTATAGCTGTGTCCTCAAAAGCAATTGCAACAAAGACAAAAATTGACAAGTGAGATATAATTAAACTAAACAGGTTCTGCAGAGCAAAAAAACTATCAACAGAGTAAATAGACAGCCTACAGAATGGGAGAAAATGTTTGCAAACTACATATCCCACAAAGGCCTAATATCCAGAATCTGTGAGTAACCTAAACAATTGAACAAGCAAAAAACAAAACCACATCAAAAAATGGGCAAAGAACTTGAATAGACACTTCTTAAGAGAAGACATACAAGCAGCCAGCAAACATGAAAAAACACTCCATATCACAAATCATCAGAGAAATGCAAATCAAAACCACAGTGAGATCCACTTCACACCAATCAGAATGGCTATGATTAAAAAGTCAAAAAACAACAGATGCTGATGAGGCTGTGGAGAAAAGGGAACACATAGACACTGTTGGTGGGAATGTAAATTAGTTCAGCCACTGTGAAAAGTAATTTGGAGATTTCTCAAAAACTTAAAACAGAACTACCATTTGATCCAGCAATCCCATTACTGGTTATATATCCAAAAGAAAACAAATCATTCTACCAAAGAGACACATGTACTGGTATGTTTGTTGCAGCACTATTCACAATAGCAAAGACATGAAACCAACCTAAGTGCCCATGAAAAAGGATGAAATCATGTCCTTTGCAGCAATATGGGTGCAGCTGGAGGCCATTATCCTAAGTTAATTCAAGAAGGAACAGAAAACCAAATACTATGTGTTTTCACTTATAAGTGGGAGCTAAACATTGGGTATGCAGGGACATAAAGATGGCAACAATAGAAACTGGGGACTACTGGAGGGGAATGGGAGTGAGTGGGGCAAGGGTTGAAAAAACTAACTCTTGGGTACTGTGCTCAGTACCTGGGTGACAGGATCACTCATACCCCAAACCTCAGCATCATGCAATATACCCAGGTGACAAACCTGCACATGTACTGGCTGAATCTAAAATAAAAGTTGGGACAAAAAAAATCACTTGCTATATGTAAAAAAAAAAAAAAAAAAAAAAAAAAAAAAAAGGTACTGAAAATAGGAAATGTAAAATAGGATTAGAAGGAGCAAGATCCTAGTAAATAACAAATCAATATATTTGTTAAAAAATATGAATGTGATAATTATGCCTATGAAAGGCAAAAAATCTCAGATAAATAAAAAATAAATTAACCATGTGACATTTAGAAATAATACTCTTAATGAAGATGACATAGGAAGACTGAAAATAAGGAGGAGAAAAATAATGAAAATATTACCAAAATGAAAAGCCACACAGATATATTGATATCAGATATAATTCAAAGCAAAAAGGGACAAGAAGGAATATTTCATACTGATGAGAGAGGCAATCTAACAAGAAGATATAACAATCATAAACATTTATGTACTCAATAACATAGCTTCAAAGTACAGAAAGGAAAAACTGATGGAACTACCAGGGGAAACTGACAAAGCCAATGAGAATATTTAACAGTGCTCTCAGAAACTGATAAATCATGCAAGCCAAACATCAGTGAGTATATAGAGAATTTAAGTAATACAGATAACAAGCCTGGTCAAATAAGATTCTCTGTACCCAGCAAACAGAGAATACACATTCTTATCAAATACAACAAAGTAGTTACAGATATTGACCACGTATTAGGCCACAAAAATAGTCATCAAATTCCAAAAATTGATATCATATAGCCCGTATGGCCTGAACTCAGGAGGGAAGGCTGAGTACATGGGTACAGCTGTAATAAAAGTAGTTTGCAGGTGTTGTATTTTTTAAATTTTAAAAATCTATTTTATATTTTATTTTAAATTGACTTACAGTAAAATTCACTGTTTGTGACGTGCAGTTGTGTAGGTTTTGACAGTGATGTACCCACCATCACAGTCATGCTACAGAACAATTCCATCACTCCAAAAACTCTATCATGCTATCCCTTTGATGTCATCCTGTTCCCCAACTCCAATCCCTGGTAACCATTGATCTAAGCGCCTATCTAATAGTTTTGCCTTTTCCAGGATATCATATCAAGAAAATCATAAAATATGTGGCCTTTTAGATCTGACTTTTTTAACTAAATGCATTTGAGATTGCCTGTTGTTGCAAGAATAATCTGTTCTTTGTATTGCTGAGTAGCATTTTATGAAATAGATGTACCATAGTTTTGTTTATGAAAGACATCTTGGTTGCTTCCAGTTTTTAGTGATCATGGATAAAACGAATACAAACATTTACCTATAGGTTCTC